>NC_000009.12:103826612-103978127 GCF_000001405.40 Homo sapiens | reverse complement strand
TGGATATTTGATGACAGCCCTAGATTCCAGGGGCAAAGTCTTATAGTTAGGTTAGCGGATTGTCAGTTCACAATTGTTTTTAACAAGTCTACACATTTTTGAAGTACTTCAACATATATTTATGTCAGAATGAAGACCTTATATATCTAAGTATCAAAGATCTGAGGTGGAGATGATTAAGTTAGTTTTCTGCTATTTTTCTATTAATCTAGTACATCACAGAATTAAGTGTTTTACAAAACATATGTTACATTAAATGTAATGATTCCTTTCAAGTGACAGTTAAAAAATTGGAACTCGTTTTTGGTGAAAATATACCAAAACATTTCATTTCACTGATTTTCTAAACTGTTCACTCTTGAATTTTTAAAAATTATACTTTAAGTTCTAGCATACGTGTGCACAACGTGCAGGTTTGATACACAGGTATACATGTGTCATGTTGGTTTGCTGCACCCATCAACTCGTCATTTACATTAGGTATTTCTCCTAATGCTATCCCTCCCTCATCATCCCACCCCCGCGACAGACCCCAGTGTCTGATGTTCCCCACCCTGTGTCCATCGCACTTGAATTTTTAAACTTTTTTGTGAGACGACTTTGGGGTTGTTGTCAACTGTGGAAAAGACTTATTATCATATATTATCTTTACTGTACTCAAATCTCTACAGCCAAAGAGGGGGAGTCTCACCTCGAATATATATTTTATTTACCAGCAAAACCTCTGCTTTGAATTTCTGGCATCTGTCATGCTCTGGTGTGCTAGGATAAACAACATGAAAGAAGTCTCACATCCTACTTCTCGTTTTCTTCTAAGGTTGAATCCTGAGGTTGGCAAACCTTCTTCTGCTTGAACTGCAGCCTTGTTTGAACTTCCTTTTTTTCTCTGGATGAGATTCCCTATGGAAATCTCAGTACCAAGGAAAGTGAGATTTTCCACTTCTGAGATTTTTCTGGAAATCACAGTCCCTCACATAAACACCATTTTAGACCCAATCTTTTAGTCCTGCAGGCAGGCAGGATTTTGTCTGAATCATAGGTTGAAATAACTAGGCTATACCTAGGGTTCCTGACATAAATGCATACATAAATAAAGAGCCTAGAGGGACTATTTGTTTGCACTTACATTCCTCTCCTTCCATGCTATCTATTTGTTATACGCACATGGGGTTTTCGAAATAGAGGCATAACAGAGTTCCTTAGGTAGCCAGAACAGGATATCTGAGTGGGTTCAAGAATGGTTACAAGGACAGTCATATAAATTTTGAGAACACTGCAGAGGTGTTTATAACATCTTTAGTCTTTCTGTCACTCCAGTGGAGAATCACTCATGCATGGGCATTTACAGCATTCTCTGTTGCAAAGTACTGCATTGAAAATACCATAGTTTCGCATTTAGAAGACCTGGGGTCTTGTCCTGATTTTGCTGCTCATTAGCTTTACGGCCATGCTAATTATTTCCCATTTATCATTCTCAAGTTTCTTACCTATAAATACAGACATTAATGTTTAACAACTGAGTTTTGTGGAAGATGATATGATATGATGTATGCGAAACTTTCACTGTATAAATTGATATAGGAATTTATAGGAGAGGAAGCAGCAGGGAACAGACATGGTCACTTTGTGTAACCATCTTTCTAGGGCCTTCCTAAAGGATACGAAATTGCTAAACTGTCCAAAGCCTGAGATAGTCACTGGGACTCATTTTACTGGGGTGTCGGGTTACTATATGTAAAACATAGTCTCAAATTCCACTTCTTTTCTCATACTCCTTAAATCTATTTGGTAAGTGTACCTGGCAGGGCTTACCTCAGCAGGCCCAGCAGTTATCTGGCTCTCTGTGTTCTGACAGCAATTAAAGTAGGTAAAGTGAGTCCCTTCTACATCCACAGTGGTGGCCATTTTGGATTCAGAGAAACAGATCAAGGGAAGTTCCATATATTCTTCAAGGCCTAACCCTTTCCCATCAGCGGAGCTAACTGAAGAATCCCTGAATTTGTAAGAATCAGTAATTACCTAGTGGTCAATAAGCTTATTTTTCATTACCTATTTTGCTATAGTTGCTTTTATATTTAGCCCTTTTGGCAGAATACCCCTGAAGGAAGGCAGAATGATAATAATGTTCTAGCACCAAAGCCACATCCCAAACTTCTAACACTAGGCAGGAAAGAAAAAATCTATTGCTCATGTGCTCTTGGAGATCAACTTGTGGTAGGGGAGATAAATGCCTAAACAAATAGTTATCACATCACTAAAGTAGAGTGATATGGCTATGCAAACTGTATTTAGCTACAATCAGGCCTGGAAAGCTCAGGAAAAATTTGGGAATAGTGTGATGCTCAAGTTGAGTCTTAAAGGATAAGCAGGGGTTAGCTTGTCGGGGGAGATAATTAGAAGTTGTTCTAGGTAGAAGGGACAGCATGAGAAAATGCACAGGGTTGTAGGAATACAAACTGTAAGTTATTTGAAATTGTTGGAGCATGCAGTGCAAGGTAGGGAGTAATGAGAGATGCAGTTGGAACACAAGGAGGGGGATTTATAATGAAGGGTTTATGCCACATTAGGAGCTTGAATTTTATCCTGTAGCCAAAAGGAACTGTTGAAGGGTTATCAGCAGAAACTGTGCATAGTCATATTTGAGTTTTTGAAAACAAATTTTGGCAGCAGTGCCCTTGGTACATTTTGAGAATAATGTGATTAGAAACTAGTTAGGAGCCTCTTACAGTATAGTTTAGGTCAGAAATAGAATTTGAGAACGAATTACACATATAAAATTTTTTAAAGCAGAGGCTCCCTTTTTTGCCATGCTATATGTGTACTGTGTGTATATGGAGTTGTTTTCAAATCAGAGGCATATCTGATTTCTTGGGAAGCTAGATCAGGATATCTTGGTGGGCTGAAGAATGGCTACAGGGACAGCTGTATAGAGTTTGGGAACACTGCAGAAGTATTTCTAATACATGTAATCATTCTGTTGGCCACTTGAAAATCATCTTTTCCATGAGCACTTCAAGTATACTTGGTTGTAAACTGCTAGGTTGAAGATTTCATAGCATTTTATAGCAAAATTCTATCTCACTGTTATTGACATCTTGGAATATGATGAGTTTTTATTATGAAGATAAATAATGGCTTACTTTTTTCTATTAGAGAAAATGAATTGAGACCTTCAGAACAATATTAGCATGATCTTTGTTCACAAGTCTCTCTGCAGTGAATTCTTCGATTAAATGATTAATAATTTCCATTGCTAGTCATCCAAGAGACATCATGCTTGACTACACTTTTAGCATGATATAATCATTACTTATGACCAGGGCTTTCTCCTGCACCAAATAAAATTTATAATGTTTACTTAGCTGTACTCTAGCATGTAGGTAAATTCACAGAGTATGCAAAGGTAAGTGAGAAAGTTGAGTGGCTACTGTCTTCAAAGTGTTCCTCTGAGACAGCCTGATATTTCTTGAGATGTGACATTTCACATTCTGCTTATAAGTGATAACTTAAGCTGCCTTGGTACTTTTCTATGTGTGCTTGCATCATATTACCTGAAAAAAAAAGGAATGTGATTGTACAAAGAAAAACACAACTGCCATATCTTCAGGACTGATGTACATTAAACACTATTTTCAGAAACAGAAAATACAATACTAGTCTGATTTGGAATCAACTTCTATCTAGCTCTGTTATTTCTTGGTGATGTGACCAAGGGCAAATACATAGCTGCTAAGGACCTTGGTTTCCTACTGCAAACTAAGTAATAAAATCTATCTCACATATATCTATCTCTCCGTATATTTATATTTTAGAAATGGGGAGTTATACAATAATCAAAATAAATAAATTATATATTATGGTAGTAATAAGTCCTATACAAATAAAGAAAAATAAAAGAGGCAAAATAGATATTTATTATTGCTTAAAAACTATCCTGAAACTTAGTAGCTTAGAATAAAACATATTTGTTATCTCCCAGTTTCTGTGAGTTAGGAATACAATCACGACTTAGCTGGTTGGTTCTGGCTCAGCGTCTTTCAAGAGATGTCAGTAAAGATATTGATTAGTCCTACAGTCATCTGAAGGCTTGTTTGGAGCTGGAGCATCCCCTTCTAAGTTGGTTCACTCATGTGGCTATTGTCAGGATGCCCAAGTTTCTCATCACATGGACTGCTCTATGGAACTTTTTTGAGTGTTCTTACAACAGAGCAGTTGGCTTTTCCCAAAATAAGTGATCCAAGAGACCACAAAGCCAATCCTTTGTCTGGCCAAATATAAATCCTTGGATTTATACTTCACTTGACTTTTTAACCCAAGCTTTACCCTTGAAGACTATCTTTCAGGTATTTTTTGCCTCCAGACACATATAATACATAGTCTATACTTATACCAGTCAATCTCATTCCTAGCTCTGTATTCCAGAACTCCAGATTAGATTTGGGATGCTAGGTCACAGCTTTTCTGAGAGGGATTTATCAGTACTGTACTGCAGACAATTATCAATAGATTAAATGCTGATGGTATGATATGTTTAATATCAATGACAAAGATGATTCATTGTTAAAATTACACAATTCAAATTAAAATAATTTTCCATTTGTAATACATTAAATTTTGGGATGGATGGAGTGAGAAAGATACTTTCATATTAAGAGAAAACATTAAGGGCCATGAAACTTGGAGAAAAGTTTTCAGGTTGCTACTTGAGCCATTGGAGATGTGAAAGAATGACCAGAGCTGTTGATATTTCCCGGATAATGTTCTAGTTTCTTGCGTTCTGTGTGTTCACTTATGCAGAGTGTTTCTTGGTCTTTCTTTCTTTCTTTCCAGTGGGAAAGAGCATCTCCTAAAAGAAAACTATCCAGAGAAGCTGTGAAGAGAAATTCAAAGGAAGGGTAAACTCTGAGTTTACAGTGTGGCTTCTTGCCATTTTGTATATTGACAGAACACTATAAGCCTTATGTCAATATCCTGTAAAGGATGAGTGTCACAGGAGGCATGAAAAATAAAGCTGAAAGAAATTTGTATAATATCTATAAAAGCACTTCTAACCCTGAGAGAAAGCATTAAAATAAAAGAGAGGGGCTGTATGTTATCTCTGTTTCTGCATAAGAATGCAGAAGAATTCATGAACTCTGCGAATGCAGAAGTTAATGAACATCATGAAAAGAATAAAAGAGGAATGAAAATGCAAACATACAAGTTTGGGATGTTATCACACATTAATCGGAAATGCAAAAATAAATTGACAATACTATGTGTTGGCAAGAACACAATGGGAACTCTCATTCACTACTAGTGGGTGTGTAAATTAATACAAACTGTTTGAAAACAGTTTTAACTTGTCCTTTCAAACTATACTACAAGGCTACAGTAACCAAAACAGCATGGTACTGGTACCAAAACAGACATATAGACCAATGGGGCAGAGCAGAAACCTCAGACATAACACCACACATCTACAACCATCTGATCTTCAACAAACCTGATAAAAACAAGTAATGGGGAAAGGATCTCCTAATCAGTAAATGGTGCTGGGAAAACTGGCTAGTTATATGCGGAAAACTGAAACTGGACCCCTTCCTTACACCTTATACAAAAATTAACTCACAATGCATTACAAACTTAAATATAAAATCCAAAAGCATAAAAACTCTAGAAGAAAACCTAGGCAATACCATTTAGGACAGGCATGGGCAAAGACTTCATGACAAAAACTTCAAAAGCAATTGCAACAAAAGCCCAAATTGACAAATGGGGTCTAATTAAACTAAAGACCTTCTGCACAGCAAAAGAAACTATCATCAGAGTGAACAGGCAACCTACAGATTGGGAGAAAATTTTTGCAATCTACCCATCTGATGAAAGTGTAATATCCAGAATTTACAAGGAACTTAAACATATTTACAAGAAAAAAACAACCCCATCGAAAAGTGGGCACAGGATATGAACAGACACTTCTCAAAAGAAGACATTTATGCAGCCAACAAACATGAAAAAAGCTCAACATCACTGATCATCAGAGAAATGCAAATCAAAACCACAATGAGATACCATCTCACACCAGTCAGAATGGTGATTATTAAAAAGTTAGGAGACAATAGATGCTGGCAAGGCTGTAGAGAAATAGGAATGCTTTTGCACTGTTGGTGGGAATGTAAATTAGTTCAACCATTGTGGAAGACAGCATAGTGATTCCTCAAGGATCTAGAACCAGAAATACCATTTGTTTCAGCAATCCTATTACTGGGAATATACCCAAAGGAATATAAGTCATTCTACACATGCACACGTATGTTTATTGCAGCAATATTTACAATAGCAAAGACATGGAACCAACCCAAATGCCCATCAATGATAGACTGGATAAAGAAAATGTGGTACATATACACCATGGAGCCATAAAAAGGAAGGAGATCATGTCCTTTGCAGGGACATGGATGAAGCTGAAAGCCATCATCCTCAGTAAACAAGCACAGGAACAGAAAACCAAACACTGCATGTTCTCACTCATAAGTGGGAGTTGAATATTGAGAATACATGGACACAGAGAGGGGAACAACGCACAGCAGGGCCTGGTGGGGGATGGGGGGGTGAGGGGAGGGAACTTAGAGGATGGGTCAATAGGTGCAGCAAACCACCATGGCACATGTATACCTATGTAACAAACCTGCCCATTCTGCACATGCATCCTGTTTTTCTTTTTTTTTAGAATAAAGACAAAAAAATCGGTTTTAGCTTGTCTAATCAAATTGAACATATTCATACTCTTATAGAGAAACAAACTCCCAGAGATTCTACTCCAGGAAACTGGAGAACCTTTGAGCTATAGTGCATGTACAAGGATGTCCACAGCATTATTCTTCGTAATATCCAAATGTCCTTTATAACAGAATAGACAAGTATATTGTGACATATTTATATATTGAATACTTTAAAGCAGTGGAAAGTGAGTCAACTACAGCTATGTAAAGCAACACAGATGAGTCTCACAAACATTTGGGTTGCAAAAAGCAAAACATGGCCGTGCACAGTAGCTTACACCTGTAATCCCAACACTTTGGGAGGCCAATATGGGAGTACTGCTTGAGTCCAGGAGTTTGAGATTAACCTAGACAACATAGTGAGAGCTCATATGTACTTAAAAAGAAAAAAAAATTAGCCAGCCATGGTGGTGTGTGCCTGTAGTCTCAGCTACTCAGGAAGCTGAGATGGGAGGATTGCTTGAGCCTGGAAGATGGAGGCTGCAATGAACTATGATCACGTTACTATATTTCAGCCTGGGTGACAGAGCGAGATTGTTAAAAAAAAAAAAAAAAGGCATGAATCCATTTGTAGTTCAAAAACAGACAAAAGATTTACACTTTTAGAGCTGCAATCAGAGTTGGTAAAACTTTAAGGAAAAATCAAGGCTATAGCTATCAACAAAATCACAATGAAAATTACCTCTAACATTTGAGTCAGGGCTTGAGGATTATAATCAGGAATGAGCACATGAAGGTGTTCTAGGAAGGTAGTAATTTTATAATTCTTAATTTGAATGGTGATTAGACAGGTGTTTGCTGAATAATTTTTATTCTACATGTGTTTACTCATCTGTATGTACTTTATATATTATAATTAAAAGAGCAAAAAGATTATGTGGTCATAGTAGGCCATTTGGATGTCAGTCACATACAAGAGGGAGATGGAATAGAAGGAGTATAGAAGATAATTGTCTTCAAACAAAGAAGAAATTATGTGTGTATATTAGTTCGTTTTCACACTGCTATGAAGATATTGCCTGAGACTGGGTAATTTATAAAGAAAGAAAGTTTAATTGACTCACAGTTCCACATGGCTGGGGAGGCCTCAGGAAACTTACAGTCATGGCAGAAGGCGAAGGGAAAGCAAGGCACATCTTACATGGCAGGAGGTGAGAGAGGGGAAGGTGGGGGGAACTGACAAACACTTTTAAAGCATCAGGTCTCCTGAGAACTCACTCACTATCATGAGAACAGCATGGGGGAGACCGTCCCCATGATCCAGTCACCCTCCCACCAGCTCCTTCCCTCAACACATAAGGATTACAATTCAGATTAGAATTTAAGATGAGATTTGGGTGTGATACAGCAACCATATCAGTGTGTGTGTGAGAAATGATACTGCTTTGATTTGAGAGTCAAATTTGAGAATGGGACTGTTTTGGTATTTTTAAAGGGGAATGTTTATTTCATTCTTCTGATGTTTCCTTCCATGTGGAGGGACATCCATTAGTGTGCCAACCCTATTAAGTATGTACTCTCCATTATTCTCCCCCTGGGCAATTAGAAGGGTAGAGAGGAAAATGACATACTTTTCTGATGAGTTTTGAAGAAAAATGAAGGCATTGATAGGTCAGACACCCTCTCTTTTTTTTCTGTAGTTAGTGAGCTAATTTCAGGGAATACACATTAATTTCTGCTCTTTTAGATAGAAGTACCTATGTGTGAGGTTTGCTCCAGTCTACTGTTAATTGTAAATGGGTGGGCAAGTCTTTCATTCAGGAGTTATAAATAAGGAGGCTTACTTGCTTATAAAGAAAGCTACATTCTCAAATTTCTGCTTTGCTAGTAATAACATCAGTGATTTGATATTTATCTGCTGATTTCTAAACTTATTTTTTGGTTAATTCAAAACCTAAGTGGAGAAAAACCCTTGTTTCTACCATACACATCTCTCCCAATGATGGTCTTGGGTTAGATAGCCATGTCAATTCATTTTGATGAGGTCTATATTCAGCTCCTAACTTGTCCTGCTCTAGTATTTGAATGGCACTATGGTTCTCCCTGTGGCTTAGATGTTTAAATGTAATTTCATCTTCCTTCTTGTTCTTCAGATCAGGACTAAAGTAGAACTGTATGCTACAGCCAACCATACAGTTATGGATACATTTTGGAAGTAGGCCCTCAAGATTTCATAACAGCAATGACAAATGTGGAAAACAAAAGCAAAGCTAATTCCAGGATGTGTCCATGGGAAAAACAATGTAGAAGTAAGGAACAGTAATGCAAAAAACATGAAACAATGTCACAAATCCAGAAACTGTTATATCAACTTCTAACGAACACCATCATTATGATAGGCCTTTACTATAATACAACAGAATAAGATTAGAGCTCACATATCTTTAATTGCATGAACCAAAGGGCATATGGTAACTATTATATAAGTACAGGCCAGGATAAAGAGAGCATGTATTATACAATGAACACTCTAATGGCCCCAATAAAATAATTATTGTTTATAATAAAATGTTATTAGTAGTAACATTTGTAAGTGCTCTATGAATAGGTAGCTGTTACTGCTAGCTATTAAGGGTACTGATGGTGTCAGGAATCAAAGTGAGAAACAGAAGAGGATTATGAAAACCCAAAGAAAGAGCTAAGATCTATTTGTTTCCATATAGCTATACCTTCCTTACTATTTCATTTTCCCTCTAGGCTGCTTAATTCTTTCATGTCTGCTTAGAAGAAATTTGTGGTCTGCAGGGCCAATAAAGATAGTTCCCTCACATGGTTGGACCTATGACATTACTCTTTAAGAAACAGACAATGGTAGTAAAAATAGATAAAATAGAGAAAAAGAGGAGTTTTTCTGTAGTTGTGAAATAAAGATGCACCTGAGGCTTTGTGATGACTCTCAGCTCTCCTTCAAGATCAAGATCACATTCTAAATTCAGAATGAAGGGAAGCACATCCAGCGTGGAATTTGGGATGTCACCAGAAAAAAGATGACTGTCTTTCACAAGGCTTCACAAGGCATCATTTATCTTGGTGCATTTGTCAAGGTCCGGGGTATGATCTTCGGCCTTGCAATCTCAGAAACCTGAATTTTCTTTTCAATGCAAGTAGAATCACAGTAACTAAATTCACCAAACTGATGTATGAAACCAGAATGCTAATATATTAACTTAAATAGGAAAAAAAACCTTTTGCATAAATTGGCATTTTTATATTGGTATTTCTAGAATGTGCTCTCAAGCAGACAAGTCAAAGTCTGTGGAATGCTTGGTAAGCATAGAAGCAGAACAAACCCACCATCGTCTCTCGCTTCCACATTTTCAGTAAACTTTAAATCTAGGCTCACATATACTCTCTCCTCCTTCTTAATCCATTCCCAGAATGAAGCCAGAGTTATCTTTTTTTCAAAAATGCAAAACTGCACAGTTTTGTCGCCACGTAAAACTCTTCAGTTATTTGCCATTGCAGGCAGAAAACCTAAACTCTTTATGCTGCCTGAAAATCTCCACATATTATGACTGCATTTACCCTGGGAGGATTTAATATGAGGTGCCTGAGTTTTACAGCAATACTTTCAGATATAAAAACACGATTTTTAAAATTTCTGTCAGAAAGATATTTTTGTTGTGACTCTGAAACTATCCAGCTCATATTTCCCCTTTCCTTGTAGAAAACATTGTTTTCATAATTTCTTTTTAATAATACAGGTTTATTTTTGGCAGAACAACTTATAACAATCAATTGGGAACTAAAGACAAAAACCATGATTATCTCAATAAATGCAGAAAAGGCCTTCAATAAAATTCAACGCCCTTTCATGTTAAAAACTCTCAATAAAGTAAGTATTGAAGGAACATACCTCATAATAATAAGAGCCATCTATGACAAACTGACAGCCAACATTATACTGAATGGGCAAAAGATGGGAGCATTCTCCTTAAAAACCTGCACAAGACAATGATGTCCTCTCTCACCACTCCTATTCAACATGGTATTGGAAGTTCTAGCCAGAGCAATCAAGCAAGTGAAAGAAATAAGGGGCGGGGACATAGGAAGAAAGAAAGTCAAACTCTCTGTTTGCAGATGAGATAATTCTATAGCTAGAAAACCCCACAGTCTCAGCCCAAAAGCTCCTTCAGCTAATAAACAACTTCAGCAAAGTTTCAGGATAAAAGTTAATGTACAAGGGTCACTAACACTCCTATACACCACCAACAGCCAAGCCAAGAGCCAAATCAGAAAGGCAATTCCATTCACAGTTGCCTAGGAATACAAGTAACCTGGGAGGCAAAAGATCTCTACAATGAGAATTACAAAACACTGCTCAAAGAAATCAGAGAACACACATACAAGTTGAAAAACATCCCATGCTCATGGATATGAAGCATCAATATCATTAAAATGGCCATACTGCTGAAAGCAATTTACAGATTCAATGCTATTCCTATCAAACTACCAATGATATTCTTTACAGAACTAGAATAATCTACTTAAAAATTCATATACAACCAAAAAAGAGCCCAAGGCAATCCTAAGCAAAAAGAACTAAGCTGGAGGCATCATGTTACCCAACTTCAAACTATACTACAGGGCCACAGTAACCAAAACAGCATGATCCTGGTACAAAAACAGGCACATAGACCATTGGAACAGAATAGAGAGCCCAGAAATAAGGCTGTGCACCTGCAACCACCTGATATTTGACAAAAACAAGCAATGAGGAAAAGATTCCCTATTCAATAAATGATGCTGGGATAACTGGCTAGCCATATGCAGAAGGTTGAAGCTGGACCCCTTCCAAGCACCATATACAAAAACCAACTAAAGATAGATTAAAGACTTAACTGTAAAACTCCAAACTGTAAAAGCCCTAGAAAACAACCTAGGCAATACCATCCTGGAAATAGAAACAGGCAAAGATTTCATGACAAAGACATGAAAAGCAATCACAACAAAAGCAAAATTTAATGAATGGGATCTAACTAAACTTAAGAGCTTCTGCAAAGCAAAAGAAACTATCAACAGAATAAACAGACAACCTACAGAATGGGGAAAAATATTTGCCAACTATGCATTTAACAAATATCTAATACCCAGCACTATAAGGAATTTAAATTTACAAGAAAAAACCAACCCCATTAAAAAGTGGGCAAAGGACATGAACAGACACTTTTCGAAAGAAGACATATATGTGGCCAAGAAGCATATGTAAAAAAGCTCAATATCACTAATCATTAGAGAAATGCAAATCAAAGCCACAATGAGATACCATGTCACATCAGTCAGCATGACTATTATTGAAAAATCAAAAAACAACAGATGCTGGTCAGGCTGCAGAGAAAAGGGAACACTTATGAACTCTTAGTGGGAGTGTAAACTAATTCAACCAACTTGGAAAGCAGTATGATGATTCCTCAAAGAACTAAAAGCAGAACTATCATTTGACCCAGCAATCCTATTACTGGGTATATACCCAAAGGAATATAAATTGTTCTATTATATAAGAAACATTCACACGAATGTTTATTGCAGCACTTTTCACAATAGCAAAGACATGGAATCAACCTAAATGCCCATCAATGACAGATTGGATAAACAAAATGTGGTACATGTGCATGACGGAATACTATGTGTCTGTGAAAAAGAATGAGATCATGTCTTTTGTGGGAACATGGATGGAGCTGGAGGCTATTATCCTCAGCAAACTAACACAGGAACAGAAAACCAAATACTGCATATTCTCACTTATATGTGGGAGCTAAATGATGAGAACTTATCAACACAAAGGGAACAGCAGATACTGGGGTCTACTTAAGGGTGGAGGATGGGAGAAGGGAGAGGAGCAGAAAAGATAACTACTGTACTGGGCTTAATACCTGGATGAGGAAATAATATGTACAACAAACCTCCATGACACAAGTTTACCTATGTAACAAACCTTCACATGTACCCCCAAACCTAAAATAAAAGTTAAAATAAAATGAATTGGTGTTAAAATGGTCATGATCACTGACTATTAAGGTCTTATTGAAACAACCTGACCTTCATTCACAGGGATTTAGAGTTAGAGGACCTATGTTTACTTGTTCATTTAATGTTTATTAAGTATCATATAAATATGAGTTAGTGTCTTAGATATGGATTAAAAAGCAGCAACAAGACAGATTTCCTGCTCTTTCACGGAGCTTAATTTTTGGTTAAGGGGGAAGCAGAAAACAAGAAAAATATTAAATAGATCCGAGATGCGTGACAAAAGTTAAAAGAGAGTGAAGGAATCCAGAATGATTATATGGTAAAGAATGAGAGAGAAACCTTAGACACTATGATTGGCAAAATAAGATCCAAGAGAAAACATATAATTAACATTTGAAAATTTCCCTCTGGCTTAGAGAAAGGCTTAATAATTTATGCATAAAATATTACAAAGAGCCTGGGCTTCATTTATTTAAATACTGATATGTTAGGTTTCATTTGGGACCTCTGATTCTGTATTACCTGATAGGATTCCAAATATGTTCTTTTGTGTATACACAGTGTAAGGGGCATCAAACTGGTTCAGAAAAGTATGCACATTTTAATATATTATTGAGGACTGCAAAGGATGCTTGAATGTGGTTTATAGGAACCATTTGCTTGCTATTAAATACTTTAGTGGGTCTGATTATTTTCTTAGAAAACAGTTTTGTCCTCTCAGCCAGCTGCTTTACCAGATAAACTATGAGGATTGCTAAAAGGCCTAGGGAGTATTTCTGAAGGTACAGTTAACTGGAAGATAGCACTTTTATGGAGATACATTAAAACTTGTACCTAATCTATTAAGAAATGCCAAGCTACCTTAGGTGCTGAAATAAAATGCTCAGAAGAGATCATTTCAGTTTAATCTTTTTTGAAACTTGATCTGAGAAGGATAAGGTAAGGCAGAAGCCAATGTGGTGAATGCTTCATGGAAAAATCAACTAAGACAGCGTATATTGAGCATGAGAAACATGGTTGAACAGCTCTATTCTCCAATCTTGATTTCCAGAAAATCTATTCACAATGATGTTATCTCCTAAAGCAATTAGAAAGAGAAACAACTGAGACGAAATACTCAACATTTGGATGAAAAATAAAAAGAAAGAGTCATGTCTTTGGAAATTTGGACTGCAACAACATTTACCTCAGTGGTTGTATTTGAAAAAAATTATATAATAATAGGACCTTAAAAGAAAATCAGAGAATTAGAAATATCAAATAATGGCAAGTGTTTAGATGTCTTAAGATGGCAACTGTTAAGATTGAGTCATTTCTAGTGGCTAGAGACCTAGCTGTAGGGCCAGAACACACCTATTCTTAAATTCTTTTCTCAACATTTATTACCTCTGTTTGTTTGGTAAGTTACATTCTGTATCATACTTATAAATATTTATTTATGTAGATATAGATAACCTTAGCTAATAAATGAAATTTGCTGTGTGCTATCTATGAAACAATACTCATATTTTGCAGGTGAGGAAACTGAAGATTATAGCTGTTATGAATGTTGTGAATGCTCAGGGTGTGTGTTAACAAATGGAAGAGCTAGTATTTGAAATTACGTCTGTCTGAAACCGAAATCTGAGCTTCTAACCCCTAGGTACTACAGACTCAAAAGGTCATTATAAGATTAATTGGAATTATGCTGGGACCGATGCCAAACATATCTAAACACGCAACATAAATGTAGCAATTATAAGTTTTCATAGAATCTTCAATTGTGCAAGGAAAATATTTGTTTCATTTCCATTTAAGTAATTACAATTTAAATCCTCATCTTGTCTTGCCAGCCAGAAATTCAGTCTGATTCATGATTTAGGCTGAACCCTTCCGGCATTATATTAAGATTTTATTCTAGGTCCTATGCTGTGCCAAAGAATTAGAGCAAGCCCCTCTGCTTTTTAGGACTTGGCCCATATTGGTTTTGGCTGAAAAGCCCCTTGTTTCTCCTAGTGTTATTACTTGAGGTTCAGTAGTTCTAATATGTTTGAGGCATGCACATGTTTTGTTGAGTCTAAGGAGATTCTACTGTCCTTAT
The DNA here is from genome assembly GCF_000001405.40 of Homo sapiens. Classification (NCBI taxonomy): domain Eukaryota; kingdom Metazoa; phylum Chordata; class Mammalia; order Primates; family Hominidae; genus Homo; species Homo sapiens. The sequence goes on along the minus strand of NC_000009.12, from coordinate 103,963,313 downwards.
TCATTCATTTTATATTTATTAAGTACCCTTTCAATATCAAGCACCCTCCTAGATATTGAGGAACAAGCAGCAACAAAACAAATGTATTTTCTGCTCTCTGCTTAGGGTCCAGCCTCTCTTGGTATGTCATGAAGTCTGATAACCTGTGGAATCCTGTTGCCTCTTAACAGGATGCTAAGAGTGGCACATTCCAGTCAGAGGTAAATTTATCATGAAGCTAAAGAAATGGGATTCAGGGCCCCTTCCAAGACTTTGAGATGGGCTTTAAGAGTCTGTTTTTGTTTGCTTTGTTTTGTTTGATTTTGCAAAGATAAGGTATTTGAGCTATAGTCAGTTAGACTTTTCCTTTTTAGCTCTAACCTCTTTGTGGTTTTATGATCCTGCCAAAGGGAAGTTGAATTTACTATTAATATTAAGTTGTTAGGTGTGCTAGCTTTATGGTGGTTATATGAAAAATACCTTTTTATTTGTTAAAGTTGTGTCTTCAGCATTCATAAGGGACATAATAATTCCTCCCCCTCTCTGAAAAAAAAAAAAGCTATAATGAAACAAGTGCTAACGTGATGTTTATAATTGCTGAAGCTGGGTGATGTATACTTAGAGGTTCATTATATTCTTTTCTTTTTTCTTTTATATGTTTGAACATTTCCAAAATAAAAAGTTAAAAATACCCAAACCCAGGATAAATCTAACTGTGGTATTTTTTTCATGTATTTTTTACATAAGTTGGTAAGTTATTTAATGTATAGTCTCCAGTTTCTTATCCATTTTTTCCCAGAAATATTTGTATTAGATCCTGGATTTGCTTTTTTTTTAAATTAAATTTATTGTGTTTTTAAGAATAGCACATTTAATTTATAAATTAAATCAAAATATTTATCAAATTGTATCATTTTTCTCTATCTTTTTACTTTATGTTCTTGGGGTTTCTCAAGTCTGTTCATCATGTTACTGATTTTGTTTTCTGCAATTCAATTTTCCTACTGATTACACTCCATCACAAATTGATATTTCGTTCTTGAATTTGGGGTTCCTTGTATTTTAAACTTTTATTATTATAATGAGCTCATTTTGTTTTTTAGCCTATACTTCTCTTGATTGACTTCCAACTTGTAACTCTGTTCCTTTTTCATAAGGCTATATTTTCTTGCAGTTTTTAAAATTAACAAATCAGGCAACTTATTGTCTCTTTATTTTAGAAACTGGAAGAGGCATGTATGAAACAGTATCTTTTATTATGTTTAATATTTCTTCATAGGTGTATTATGCCTCTCCAAAAGGAAGCAATGTTCTCCAAGTAGGTGGGTTTTTTCCCCTGACTGTGTGAAGATCTATAAAAATCTCCATCAATATTATTCTACAGAATCCCAATTGTGAAAATGCAGGCTAAACATTTTTGATTTTTTTTCTGCCCTTAATCAGAGGGAAGGTGGTAAATTTATGCTGTGGATCTTGTGTGTGTTTTCACCATTACTTAGTTCCATAAAATATTATTTAGCATCTATAATGGACCAAGCACTGTGCTGGCTCTGGGGATACAAAGATGAATACTTCTAAGCTTTAAGGGACTCCATGGGATAATAAACACATAAACACAGGTGTTTCTGGTAATGGAGAAATAAAGGTGTATACAACTGTCACTAATAGCACTGACCTAAAGCCTACAAAAAATCCACTAACAGAAGTCTTTCAAGAGTAGTAGCACAATTACTAAGTGATTTGTTTTAAAATATAAAAGCCAAGTGTTCTCTTTATAAGTTAAATTTTTTGTTCATTTGTTTGTTTATGTTTTTGGAGTTTTTTTGGTAACCCTGAGGAAAAAAAGAATAAATCCTATTTTGCCAAAATGTTTCAAAACCCCTTAACATGTATTAAAATGAATGGTTGTTTTAACTTAGAAAAAAAATTCTGGTTCAATACTAAACTTCTTTAAGATTTACTGAGGGTGTTTAATATTAGAACAACTGTTTTGGTTCATTACATTTTTTAAGAGGTTCTAAACTCGAATCAGTGAAAACTCACTCAAGCTTCTAACTGCAAAAGCGGGCTATTTTAAAGTAATGTGAAAACTTTACAATTTTACAATTTTAAAGCTCTTCTTCATATAAATTTTTGTGGATGCCTCTGAAGTTTTGCATTTCCCTAATGAGATAATACTTACAAATAGGCTAAAAACTCTATAAGATTTAAAGACTAATACACATGAGTTTTATAAGTCTAAACTTGGTTTGTACTTAGCATTTTAGAGATAATATTTAAAAGTAATAAAAAGGCTAATTTTTTTAAGAGCTTTATGCTTTAGTGTTTTCTTTTGTTCTTTATTGTAATAATTCTTATGTTAGTATTTCCAACAAAGAAGTGATTTAAAAAACTAGTATTATGTGAATATTCTTAACTGACAGTTGAACAACAGTTTGAACTGCAAAGGTCCACCTGATTTTTTTCTGCCTCTGCTACCTCTGAAACAGCAAGATCAGCCCTTGCTCTTCCTTCTGCTCCTACTCAACATGAAGGCACAAAGACGAAGACTTTATAATGATCCATTTTTACTTAATAAGCAGTAAGTATATTTTCTCTTTCTTATGATTTTCTTAACAACATTTTCTTTTGTCTAGCTTATTTTACTGTAAGAATATAGTACATAATACACATAACATACAAAACATGTGTGAATTGGCTGTTTATCGGTAATGCTTCCTGTCAAACAGTAGGCTGTTAGTAATTAAGTTATAAAGGAGTCAAATGCTATACACAAATTTTTGACTGATCAGGGGTTCATACCTCTATTGCTTGTGTTGTCCAAGAGTTAACTGTATAATGAGATATTACACAATTGGCAAGGAAATATTGAATAGTCCCATAAAAAATGATCAAAGAAAGTGAAGAGGAAGTTCATAAAACATAAACTAAAGTTGACAATATAAATGTAAAACGCTGAAAAGCTGAACCTCCACAGTAACACCCTCACCAAACCATGGATCAAAAATATTCCAAAAGAAAACCCAATAAGAAATAACAACACAACAATAAAATATAATACACATAAAAAATACAACATAACAAATATTTACTTAGCATTTACATTGTATTAGGTACTATAAGTAATCTAGACATGATTTAAAGTATACAGGAGGATGTGTGTGGATTATATGAAAATACTACACCATTTTGTATAAAGGATTTGAGTATCATGGATTTTTGTATTCACAGGGGTCCTAGAGCCAATATCTTATAGGAACCAAAGGATAACTGTAATTTATTTTCAAGTTATATAATGATATGAATATTAATTTCAAATATACAGTTAGGAACCCCTTGGGAGTTACCACATAGTCCTGCAAATATTTTATATAGGTGCTGAGGGGCACAAAGCAGATGTCACCATGTATACTTCATTGATTCTCCAAATTCAAACTTAATGTTTCAATCTCATGCCTTGGGTAAACGTGGGTGGTCTCCTGGTCTCTTCTGGAAGGACTTAAAGCTTAAGATTGTAGTGGCAGCACTGGCCACAGAAACAGTGCAGTATCCATGAAGCTAAGTGTTGATTGTCAAACCAAATGCAGAAATAAATACAATTGCGTTTGAAACATGTAATTGTTATATAAACACAAAATATATTATCATAGTTTGAAGGTATGTAAAGGAGTCTTGTTAGTAGAAAAGTCATCAAAGAATTAATGCTATTCAGAGTGTTCCTAGCTTTGATCCTAGCCACAGTATCACAACTCTTAGCCTATTGTTAGTAGATGCTCTCTTGAAGGCAAATTTTGGGAACAGTAATTTTCAGGCTCTAATACAAAGAGCAAACATCAATTGAACTCTTCCTCTAAGTGCTTAAGGGCATTAATTCTGTTGAGCCTTACAACAGATTTTTGTTTTCATCACTACACATGTGGGAACGGAGAATTAGAAAGGATAAATAACTTGCTGAGAGTTACACTCTTGTGAGTTTTAAATCCAAGAATTGAACTCCAGCAACAATTAGGCTATCATTCATTTGTGGAATGGTTGATTTCACTGAAGAAATGAAATATTAAATATTTAGAATTTGATAACCACTTCTCCCGTGTCTTATGCTCCTAGTATTGTTCACCGAGTCTATAACCACTCCAATACCCTACTTAACATATTCTAAATCTGCTAATTCATATATGTTTTATTCTTATCATTTCTATGTTATGAAATAATTTGGCAGAATTAAACATATTCAGCAGTCCTGGAACATGAGAATTAAGATACTCTGAAGTGGATAAAATAGATAAACCAGCAGATAATGGTACATTCATTTATCCCTCTGGTTTATAGTATTTTGAATGGCTTCATGATTTTGCAGCTTTTTCAAATATGTTTCCAAATACAACAGTTCACAAGTTCTGCACTTCCACTTTCAACTCAGAAAACTTGATAACTCACTGTTTTTGGTCCCTTGAATCCAAATGTGGCTACTATATTTTAAAGAAAATAATACTGCACTATTTTCTCTATAGAGTGTTCCTCTACTCTAGGATAGGGTGGGTTGAAGAGCACAAAGTATATTTTATAATTCTGAACTATTCCACTAATCATTAATACGAGCATGCAATTAATGCATAAATTCAAGAGGAGAGTCTCTCTCCCATCTTTGCTAGTAGAAGACATGTGGAAGAGCATAAAGGCGGGGAGTCTCTTGGTGGTGTGAAACACCAATTTTAAGAATACCTGGCAGTATTTCCGATAGAAAATCATACGACAGTATGGAATAGTGGAAACCCTGGAGAATCTGTAGTTCAAAGATGAGGTTAAAATTCCATCTCTGACATGTATAGGTTATGTTATCCTGGGAAGTGGAATAGATGTCAGTTTTCTCACCTACAATAATAGGGCCAGTAAAATCTAATTCTACAGAGATATTTTGAGGTTTAAATGAATTCATGTATTAGAATGCTTGCACATGCCTAGAACACAGTACACCATCAGTATATGATAGCTTTCATATGCACTCTTACATTACTCATTTGGAGATAATGATACTTACCTTACAGGTTATAATTAGAATTAGATGAGTATCTATGCAGATGTAATTTATCACTCTGTACCAATTAAGCTTCTAGATGGATCACTTTGTTCTTGGTTAGCCTAGTTTAACCCTTTGTAGAAACATTAATTCACTTATAAAATTCAGTTGCAGAATTTACATATTCCCACATAGTAGTCTACCTATCTGCTCTAACTGCATTTCCCATATTTTTTGTAACAGACAAGTTTTATTTATACAGTCTCTCACAAATAATAATAAAGGTCATTTCGAGGTGGAAAAAAAAAAAAAGTCCTCATCCTAGGAAATTTGGCCACAAAAGGGAAGTAAAAGAACTTGCTCAAGAAATCCAACAGCATCTTTCTTTGTTCAATTTCTCCTTTGTATTTTCCCCCTCACCTTCTTAGTTCTGCTTGGCATCTTGTCTTGCAGGCTTCCTAATTCTAAAAATATCCGCATAGGCTCTATACTTGGAAAGCTTAATGAAGTCAACCATTTTTTGATATCAGAGTGGCATCTGCAGGGTGAGGCAAGTGATGCCTTGGCTCTGTGTTCGATTCCAGGTCTGTCCTTATGGATTGTAAAGCAATAATTGTTCACTGCGGCTCTACACTAATGTACTTACTTAATCACTCAGAAGGAATTATCTGTGGTCACAGTAAGACAGCTGGGAATAAAAGCTGGCACAACACCTAATGGCCAAAGAGACCCTGCTCAGGTCCTGCTGTCTCGGGGAATTCCTCATTTAGACTGCCTGCTTTAAGCTTACAGAATTCCTCTGTAGTCTACCTGTTTTGTTACTCCTCCATTCCAAAATAACTAGAGATTCTTCTAGAAAATGTACTCTCTTTGTACTTGCTTGAAGTTTAAGCTGTAGGCTTCACAGATTTAATCAATTATTTTCAAGGTTAACTTATTATTTTATTTAACTAATATGTATCTTGGGCCATGTATATCATGCATTCTTTTAAGCACTGATTATGGCTTCTAATAAGGACTCTCTTCCTAAGCACCTTGCAGTGTACTAGGTTGTTTTGTGCTGCTAATATTTCGAGGTGTATGAATGTCTCGATATTTGAAAAGCTACTGATTCTTCTTTCCTACAGAATTGAGTCCAAACCTCACAACATCCAAAGCTGTATGGATTAGGGTCCTCATAGGAAGATGGCATACCCAAAACAATTGACAAAGATGTGTGTGGGAAGGGTAAAAGGAAATTCACAAGTGATGGCAAAGGCTTAGGCTCACCCAATCTTTGGATTGGGTGAGAACTTTAGCTGTAGGAGAGTCAGCGCCCTTGAAGATGAGTACTTTGCTAGTTAAATGGCTGAGATTGAGCCTGGAAAGCAAAAAGCCAATGAAACAAAAGTGTCAGCTTCTTGTTTTTGCCTTCTAATCTTCATCTGGCCCACCCATTGGCAGAACCCAATAGGAAACAGAGGAAAAGGGGACACTCAACCTCCTGGAAGATATATCAGGGTATATTAGGGTAGAGAGTAGATCAGGAAGGGTGCAAGCAGAATGTTCTGTGCAAATGACACTCCAAATCTGTCCCCCATTGCCATTTATTAGAGTTCTAGCCCTCTATTTCTGTTTCTGTTTGCTACTATTTCAATTCCTGTAAATGTAGCTAATTATGGAACTAAAATTCCCTTTCACAGAAAGCATTCAACATTAAATTAGTAAATTTTTTTTGAGTTTATACTATGTGCCAGATCTATTTCGAGCAGCTGGAAATGCTCTCTGTCATTTAGGAACGTACGTTTTTGTGAGTGATATCTTTACAAAGACAGCATAGTGCAGTTCATAATCAGATATTACATATGAACCAAGAAGACTTCTTTCTGTTTTAGGTAAAGCAGGATATAATAAAAAAGGGTTTGTCTGCAGGCAAACTAATTACAGCTTTTTCTTTTCTCAGGTGAGGCACTGAAGGCAGGCTCCCACTAGTCTTTAATGGAAATATTACAAAGTAGAAGGTATTCAAAACTTTTGTGATCCAGAACTGTACGGTATTTCACTGTTTTGTTCCCTCTTCCCTATCCTTGTTTTTAATTATATAAATCATTTATTGGAATGGAACTGTCCAAATCCCTGGGTACCATATTCTTCTAGCTGTAATTCTGTAGTGTTGGTTTACGGTTGAGAAAGGAGTGACATGTGGCAAATGACCAAAAATCACCCGGGCCTACAAGATTCAATTGCTCAAGAGTCCTTTGACACACCAGCTTAAAAGAAGAAAATAGGCCTATACTGAGAATAAAAGAAACTAATAGAAATGCCGTGTCCCAACTGTTTCAAAATATGTGTCTATTCAACTCTGTAGGGAGGTTCTCAGAGCCATGCCAACACTGAGCTTTTTAGTGCTTTCTTCCTTAAGCCTCCTAAATACAAAAAAAATTACATAGGTAAAAAAATACCCAAAATATCCTCTATGTATCCAAATCATTTAATACTTTTTGTCATACACATTGGTAATTCTGTCACTTTTATCATGTCTCTTATTCTCTCCTTTCAGAATTAAGTTTTCTTATACTGAAATATTCCCCATCCAGCCAGGCGTGGTGGTTCACATGCCAGCACTTTGAGAGGCTGAGGTGGGAGAATCACTTGAGTCCAGGAGTTTGAGATCGGCCTGGGCAACAAAGTGAGACCTCGTCTCTACAAAAAATAAAAAATTAGCCAATCATGTTGGTGCAGGCCTGTAGTCCCAGCTACTTAGGAGGCTGAGGTGGAAGGGTTGCTTGAGCCTGGTTTGCTGAGGCTTCAGTGATCCATGATTGTGACATTTCACTCCAGCTCCAGCCTGAGCAACAGAGTAAGATACTTTCTCAAAAAAAAAAAAAAAAAAAAAAAAGGAAAAAGGAAAGAAAAAGAAAAAAGAAAAAAAAAAAAGTCCCTACCCTGGGTCCCTGGGTGTAGCTTACCTTTATCATAGTCCCAGCTCCCTGTTTTAGTTACTTCTATCATAACACTAATTTTCGGAGTGCTTTTTAAGGGAAGCAAATGAGTAAAAAAGAAACAAATACTTAGCTTTATGTTTAGAATTGTTAAATGATTTGGTTGTCAAGGTTTGTGTGTATCTGTTTTGTATATTTAATGTTCAGATGTCTTTATAATTCTAAAGGTAAGAAAGTGAAGGAGCAACAAGAGCTAATTTTGAGACCCATGTTGATGACACTCCGTGTCCTGGGATAACTTTCAGCTAAAGAAACATCAAAAATCTAAACTAATTTCCCTCTATTAATCCAGAAATCTTCTACATATAATTTAAAACTCTTATTATAAAACTCACTCAAATAGACAGAAATGTCTTTTTCTCTATCTTTCAAATAGAGAGAAATGTCTTTACACTACTAATTACTGAATAGTACTTATCAGATTACTCAGTGCAATGGTTAATTTTATCTGTCAATTTGACTGGGCCATGGGGTGCCCAGATATTTGACCATGCTTTATTCTAGGTGTTTCTATGGGGATGCTTTTGGATGAGATTAACATTTAAATCAATAGACTGAATGAGGCAGATTGGCCTCCATGATATGGGTGGGCTCCTCTAATCAGATGAAGGCTTTGATATAACAAAAGTCTGACTGTCCCCAGAGTAGAAATAATTTTTCCTTCCTGATTGCCTTCAAATTGGAACACCAGCTTTCTTCTTGCCTTTGGACTCAAACTGAAACCTTGGCTCTTGCTGGGTCTTGAGCCTGCCAGCCTTTCAACTGAGACTACACCCTTAACTCTCTTGGTTCTTAAGCTTTTGTACTCGGGCTGGCTCTCTTGGGTTTCTGTCTTGTCCACTCACTCTGTAATCTTGGGACTTGCCAGCTTCGTGTGAGTCAATTCTTTATTATAAATTATATATGTATTTGCATACACACACCCATACCAACCCTCCTCCTTCTCCTCCAGATCCCTTATTGGTTTTGTTTTTTTCTGCAGACTTTTAATATATTTGGCCTTCCAGGCCAATAATATAGCCAAATCATGATGATATATGCTTGCAACCAGTTGTTAAAATAAGTAGTTTTACCTCAGTCTCTTAAATTGTCTTTAAGTTTAAAATATTTTAAAATGTGTTGGCTGGTGAGATGTCTAAGGGAACTGTTTGACTGCCCTCTCTTGACTCAAACAGATTTGGCCACATCTATAGCACAGCACTTTTCTAAATGTACTTCTAAATATGAGATTTTCTTCCAAAAGGGTTTTGAAACGGATCTGGAAGGCAGAATCCAAGAACTTTTCATTTGCTTGTTTGATTGTTCTTTTCATTGTTTTGCTCTTAGTCATTTCTTTTTTAGCTCTAAAACTTCTGATGATTTTCGCTTAAAATTTGCATGATTGGCTTTTAAATGTTGTTGAAAGAAGAGTTTCATGCAGTAATTGTTCAGTTTCTTTTTTCACACAAAAGATACTGAAATTTAGACTAATTTGCATCTCTCCAATAAAAAAGCCCATACTTTAAATAAACATCTAAGTATATCATATTTTTTTTTACATTGATGACTGCTGCTTAGTACTGAGTTGCTAATTGTGGCTGAGAAGGGCTATCATCTTTGCTTTTAAGTTTTTGTGTGTGAAGCCTCAGGGACTAGACACAAGTGCCATATTTTCTAATCTGTTGCTACAAATAAATTATTTTTACTTTTTTGGCTTTCATGATAAAACCATGACCTTGGTTGCCTGAGAAAAGCAAGGTTCTGCTAGCTTTGTTTGCACATGTATGGGGTGAAACCTTTGAAGCATACAGAACATAAAACTTATTTTATCCCAAATTGTAAGTAAAATGTTCACCTCTTGAAACTGCACCATGTGTATCCCTAGCTTTCACTTATGTCCCAGCACACCAACCCCATGCGGTATATGAACCCTGCTGAGAAGACTGGTTTAGCTCCTCCCTTCCCTAATCTGGTCCTCCCCACATTGAATTTCTCAAATGGCAATTTAAGTGATTTTTTTTTTCTTGAATGTAACTCTTATAACACTTCATTGCTTAAAATACCTTAAATGAGTTCTGATATCTCTCTGTTTACTGCCACAATATAAGCCAAAACTGTGAAACCCAATTTACCTAGCTTCTGAGGGTCTATCACTCATTGGTCTCTGTCCACCTCTTCAATCTCAGCACTTACTTTTTCTTCATGTTCATCATAAAGGTTTCTCAGATCCCTGAACCTGTCATCTGCTTTTCCTCTGAGAATTTCTATTTGAGAAATTCCATGATTATAGTTTTTCCTCTGGATCTTTTCCTGTGCTGTGTCCTCTGGCCAAATCACCGTCCCAGGACTTCTCACTCCTCTCTTGTGTTAGTTATTCCCTCTTGACCCTTCAGGCCTGGAAAGATTTCCCCACCTTACCAACTCAAGGTCAGTTTTCAACTTCTGTCTCCCCTGAGACATAAATATCTAAACATAATCTCTACTTTCTCATTGCAACGCTTGTCACATCTTTTTAATTTCCTGATTGTTTGTTCTTTCTGTGACTTTCCAAAGGCAGAGATATACCCTGTCTTTTTTTTTTTGGCCTTATTTTTAGTCTTGAATATAGTGCCTTTTATACTGTTGGGAATCAGTAAATAGTTGTATCAATGAATGATCACTGGAATAGGCAACCACCAGTCAAAAGTCAACCGAGAGTCAACATTATAAGAGCAAAATCATACCTTACCCAAGGCTTAACTCTTTCAATGTGTTTTTCATTTTATAATTTGCCCCTGCCATCCAGGTGGGACCAGTAAGTATGTATCTCAGTGGAGCTTTGTAACAGACTCCAATGTGAGGTTGATTGTATAGGAGGTAGTAATCTTTCCCGATACGCATGCATTTTCCTCAGGGGACTTCTATAGTCCTTCTCACACTATACTGTAATCATCCTTTCTCTCAATAGTCTGTAAGCATTTTAAGGGCAGCAAGCTGTCTGATTTCCAGTGTTGAACCCCTAGTCTACCATAAAGTACATTTAATGAATTAAAACTTTATTCCATCTTGTGGGAACCTGGTTCTCAAAATCATGGAATAACATATTTGAATTCTACAACTGCTAAATTGCTATGGAGGCATAAAAGAGTAGACATCAGAATTTTGGACTCAAAATTTGATCTGAACCAGATTTTTTTATTCTCTCCAATCTTTTAATAGTAATCTGACTCTCCTTATTTTAAAAGACACAGCAGACTGTCAAGAACTATTTGAGAAATTCCATGATTACATTTGATGAAAAGGTCAACCTGTAGGCTTACATGACAGGGAATCTTAGATCTCATCTTCTCTAAAAGAGATGACTCAGGGCAAAATGATATTGTAGAAGAGAGACAAGTAGTTGAGTAGTCTCTTTTCTGAGTTTGGACTATGAGTGTATTTTTATTATGGTAGATAATTTTATTTCTTCTTTTTGCTTTTTATTGAGATAACACATATGTCAACAAAATATACCAATTATAAATGTACAATTTAATGAATTACAACATACTAATAGCCAACTACCATGTAGGTTAAGAAATAGAATATTACCAGCATGCCAAATACCCCCCACTTCTGTCCCTCTCAATAATTACCCCTTTCTTCCTTTCTACCTCCCACCCCTTTTTAAATGCTTTGGGATTATATAAGGTATATAAGGGGAAAAAGCCAGCATCTCTGGAAAGCAGGCTATCATAATCTAACAGAAGAGGCAAACTCATTCAAATAGGCACAAGATGATGCAATAAGAGGCTAGCAATATAAGCCGGGGGTTATGGAAACTCAAAGGCTGTGGGCTGAGGGGGAAACAGAAGTATTCATAGAGGAGGTGACATTTAAAGAGGGTTTTGAAAAATGTTTTCCTGGTTTAGAAAAGAAACAAAAGTAGGATATACCATGGAGAAAAAAAATAATTAACAATTTGATGGTGAGAGGAAAGGGGTTGGCTCTTGGAGAAAAGTATTGGTCTAATGTAATGTGGTTAGGGCAACAGATTTAAACTTCAATTGCACCTCAGAATCACCTACTAGATTCTTTAAAGTACATATCCTAGATCTATAGATTCGTGATCTCTAAGGATCCAGGGTTGAGGCCAACAGAAGTGGATTGTTTACAAAGCCTGACAGTTAATTATGGTTTGCAAGCAAGATTTGCAAATGACCGAACCAGAAGACAAAATACAAAATACAGGGCAGATTATGGAGGATTTTGAAAGCCAGTTTATATATTTTGGGCTGTACTCTTTAGCCTAGTATTTCCCAGACTTGCCTGATCATAGGAATCACCCAGAGAGTCTGGTAAAAAGCCAGCTTCCTTTGCCCTGCACCGAACCTACAAATCACAAATTGATAGGGAGGTGGGGCTGGAGTTAATCTTCCTTTTTTCCTCTTCCCTTCCTCCCCTGCTTCCTCCCTTCCTTGTTTCCTTCCTTCCTTTTCTCTTTACCCATTTCTCTTTCTTTTCCTTCCTTGCTTCCTCCATCCCTTCCTTTCTTCCCTTCTTCCTTCTTTCCCTCCTTCCTTCCTCCCTTCTTTCTTCTTCCCTCTTTCATTCCTTCCTTTCTTCTTTATGCTACTGTTTCTCCATTTTTTTCTCTTTCTCTTTTTCCCCAAATAATTCAGATGATTTTCATTAGTACTCATATTGGAAAACTTTTTTTTTTTAGCTCATTGGAAGTCATTTAAACTTCATTAGATCAGATCTGCTATAAAGATTATCTTGGTACACATTCATTGGTTGAGGAAGGGGAAGCGATTTAAATGAGAGAGAGGAGAGGAAGATTTGTTCTATAATTTGGGGGACAGCTGATTAGCAGAGACATTGGTTGATTCACTTTCTAATTCCTTCACGAGATAGTGTCCGATACAAAAGTGATACTCAGAAATATGTTAAATGAAAGGCTGAATTATGAACTCATTAGGTTGGAGGATGTGTTATTTAAAGGATGATGTGCTATTTAAATGGCTGTGTTATAAAATAGATGAATTATGAACTAATTAGATTGCAGTGGAGGTGCTATATAAAGGAAACTTTCATAGGTGTAATAAAGAGGACTTGATAAACAATTGGTTATGGGGACTGGGAAATAAGAAGCATTGAGTGCGACTTGGAGATTTCTAGCATGAATGGCTGGTGTGTGGGGAAGCTACTCATTGAGACAGGTTTAGTGTTATTTCTTAAGTTGCAGCTTGGAGGAAAAGACTGTTTCTTTAAAAATAGTTATTAGCAAATGACTTTCAGCAACTAAGAGTCTAGTATATTTCCTCTCTGTTCTGTATGCTTCCATTCAGGCCAAGCAACACCACCAACACAACTCTCATACTCACACAAGTGACACAAACTCTCATACTCACACAAGTGACATATACTGTCATCAAGAAAGGGGTATATACATTTTAGGCCCAATACTTCAACTGGAAAAGCCAGTTTTCACATCTGTCAGATTCTCCCTCCCTTTGCTTCCCTCTTTCTCCTTATTCAGAAACACTGTTTTCTACTTCATAACAGGCTTAATACTACATGAAAAAGAGAGAGAGCATGGTTAAATGAAATGATGGCTGTCGATTTTGTTACAGTATCTGCTGAAAATTCCTGTGAGTGGCGTATCTTGGTGCTAGAGTTTGAGGCAGAAGGGCAAAACTTTAATTGAATCTTATCTTCAAACAACCAGAGTAATAAAAGAGAAATAAGGGTGAAATTTCATAGCAGTTCAATTTGAGAACTCTTGTAGCTGCTCAGTTGGAGAACTCCACATAACAATTACATATATATTAACAGATCATAGGTGAGTCTGGGTTTTTTTTTTACCTCAGTGAACATTGTTTCTCACAATAAAACAAGCAATACTTCCTTTCCTTTTTATGGTAAAACTGCCACTGGGCTTCATTTAACAAGAATTACTGTGAATAAATTACAGCATTAAATTATGCACCATGACATGACTTGGTGTGAAAAATCTGGGTAGCTACAAGACTCCTTGAAGTTAATTCAAGCTGAGCTCACTAGAGAAACCCTTAATTACTTCCTGGAACCCATGGATTTATTTTCAGTTCTTGGTGCCATTGGGATCACAGTTTAGATGAATTGCCAGCAAATGCTCATGAAAGGCAGCAGTGGGAATGGACCACAGAAATGGGGGTCAAAGTTTGTATTCTTGATTTGCCTCTGGCTTTTATTGCTACATGTGTCTCCACAAATTGGCTTGAGAAATCACAGCTGGATATAGGAGAATCTACATTTTTATATTTGGGAGGCAATATAAAATCATCTAGTTCGTTCTACCTCCCACAGAGAACAAACTTTCCTGCTTTGTCACTTTTGACAGATGGTCAGTCTCTACTTATAATAGGTCTATGACCAGGACTCATTACCTCCCAAAGCTCCTTCTTCCAACAGGACAAAATTTTAGAAATGCCTGTCAAAATCTAGCTCATTTTAATAGTGTGTATAAATTTAGTTATTTGAATTGGAGTAGAGTTCCCTAAACTTGCATGATATTAGCGTCCCTTGCTGTACTTGCTAAACTTACAGATTAGCTGATCTTTTCCCTTGGAAATTCTAAACCAGAAAGTGTGAGTTCCGGTCTTCAGATCTTCATTTTATCACATACAGCAGGTGATTATTGCATCTACAAAAGTTTGAGAAACACATCTCTAACTACTTCTCAGACATAAATGTGCACGGAGTCACCTGGAGATCTCATTAAAGTACAAATTCTACCTTAATGGGTTGGGGATGGGACCCGTAATTCTGTGTTTCTAGTAAGCTCCTGGGTGATTCCATAGCTGCACGTCTGTGGGCGATACTTTGAGTAGCAAGACCCTAGAATGATGTCAAATCATTCTTTTAAGATGATGCTCCTTAAAATATTGTCAAAGACAATTTCTACTTAGCTTCTATATCTCTAGATCTCCAAGCTGAATGACCTCACTTACTTGAGTAATTTCTCATCAGTATAGATGTGCTATGATCTTCATACCCTTCAACATCTTGGTTATTTTCTCCTGACTTAATCTTGATTTGCTAATGTCTCTCATAAAATATAATGTACATAATGTCCTACAATTAACCTAATGTGCTTTAAAATTGAAACTCTAATGTTCTTCCAATAATTTGGTCCAATTTTCCCCAATTATTACGTTATATGAAATTGTGAACTGCTAAAATTTCTAAACGTTCCATGCTTAAACTACTGTCAAGGGTGGTCTTTTGGAGGCCAACTTAAATTTTTTTGGCGGGGGGTAAGTGTACACTAAGTTCTATACATTAGCTGTAAAATATCCCATTTATTTTATTCGTTTATTTTTTGAGAAAACTTTGAATTTTGATTGTGTATCCTATATGTTGGCTATCCCTTTCAGCTTTATGTCTTCCCAGTTCTTCATTCATATTTTTTTTTATTATACTTTAGGTTTTAGGGTACATGTGCACATTGTGCAGGTTAGTTACATATGTATACATGTGCCATGCTGGTGCGCTGCACCCACTAACTCGTCATCTAGCATTAGGTATATCTCCCAATGCTATCCCTCCCCCCTCCCCCCACCCCACCACAGTCCCCAGAGTGTGATATTCCCCTTCCTGTGTCCATGTGATCTCATTGTTCAATTCCCACCTATGAGTGAGAATATGCGGTGTTTGGTTTTTTGTTCTTGCGATAGTTTACTGAGAATGATGATTTCCAATTTCATCCATGTCCCTACAAAGGACATGAACTCATCATTTTGTATGGCTGCATAGTATTCCATGGTGTATATGTGCCACATTTTCTTAATCCAGTCTATCATTGTTGGACATTTGGGTTGGTTCCAAGTCTTTGCTACTGTGAATAATGCCGCAATAAACATACATGTGCATGTGTCTTTATAGCAGCATGATTTATAGTCCTTTGGGTATATACCCAGTAATGGGATGGCTGGGTCAAATGGTATTTCTAGTTCTAGATCCCTGAGGAATCGCCACATTGACTTCCACAATGGTTGAACTAGTTTACAGTCCCACCAACAGTGTAAAAGTGTTCCTATTTCTCCACATCCTCTCCAGCACCTGTTGTTTCCTGACTTTTTAATGATTGCATTCATATTTTTTATGGAATGTTGAAAATGAACATACAGAACTTCCTGGCATGTTAATGGAACAGAACTTCCTGGCATGTTAATGAAAATTAAAAATAGCAAGCTGCTAATCTGTATATTGTATTCAGAATGTGGTCTTTAAACCGAAACTCTACCTTAAATTATGATCATTCAGCCCTTGTTTTTAACAGGGTCTGTTGGCATTTTAGGTAGAAAAATTCTTTGTCATGTGGTCTGCCTTGCATGTTGCAATTCATTTAGCATGTGATATGGTGAGCATGTTAGTACCCTCCAAATCTCATGTTGAAATGTGATTCCCAGTGTTGGAGGTGGGACTTTTGGGAGGTGATTGCTCACAGGGGCAGGTTCCTCCTGAATGGTTTGGCACCATCCCCTTAGTGAAAAGTGAGTTCTCACTTAGTTCATTTGAAATCTGGTGGTTTAAAAGTCTGGGGCCTTCCCTGCCTCACTTTCTGGCGGTAGCTCTTGTCATGTAATGTGCTTGCTCCTGCTTCACCTTCCACCATTATTGTGAGCTTCCTGGGGCCCTCACCAGAAGCAGATGCCAGCACCAGATTTCTTGTACACCCTGAAGAACCATGAGCCAATTAATCTCTTTTCTTTATAAATTACCCAGTCTCAGGTATTTCCTATATAGTAAAACAAATGGATTAAAACAGCATCTCTGGAAACTATTCTCTAAATGCAAACAGTGTGCCTGATATATTTCCAAATACCTCCTGGGATATAGTACCTTCCCTGGTTGAGAACTGATAAAGCCTATATTTCACTGTTTTTCTAGAATATATTGTGGGGCAGTTTACCCAATATTTTGATAAAAAAGCAGTTTCTTTGTGTTAAACTAAGTCCTCCACTGCTCATATAAGAACTAAGGCTTCTTTCACATAACTGTTGAGACTAGAAGTGAGACTAACTGTGTCAATATAATTTAACTGTTTGATCAGGAAGTTTTTAACCAGAAAGATAAACCCGTAAGCCAATACATTTTATTTTTTGCTTCAAGAAATTTTTTCAAACTAATTTGTCTAGGTGAATGATTTGGACAACAGTTCATATACCTGAGCAGACAGCTTGCTTATTAGAGCAATAGTTTGATTATTAAGGCTTACTTTAAGATCCTTTACTTGCTGGAGAAACAATTCTAAATGATACGTCACAAACTTTCCCAAATCCTAATTAGATCCTCATCTTGAAAGACCTATTTTCAAATCACTTTATCCCAAACCCCAAAGCCCAAAATCTTCCTTAATTTCTCCCTTTTGAGACACTATTGAGACTATTGAGGTGGTGATCTTCTTTGCTTCAGTGTTTAATGAACTCAATTTTGTTGGATTACTAGGTTACTCTGGTGGTCTTTACATGGAACTGACATTGTTTATCATGTCAATGATAAAAACTTTAAAATATTCCTGATGGTGATCTTTTTATATCCTGACCGATGAGTCCTCTGAAGATCTTAAATACTTGTTCCAAGCTTGTTTGTTAATGATTGATATGTACTTTTGCAGTTAGGAAGAGATGAAAAAAGAGGAGAAAAAGGAAAAAGAGGTGATAATGAAGATGACAGAAGAAAGATAAAGAAAAGGAGAAGGTCGTAGGTGAAGGAGGAAGCAGAGAAGACAAAAGGAGACAATAAAAAAAGACAGAAACAGTTTGGGAAATATGTAATAAAAAGGAATAAGAAAAAGAGAGAAATATACTTGACCTTTTTCTTTCTCATTTTTTCAATCATGGGAATCTATTGCAACTCTTTGTTGATCCCAGTCAGTATGATCTTAGCTACAAACATGGGCAAGGAGAAGGAAGACAATGAGAATAATTAGATATAGAGGATGCATTCAAAGATATGACTAGCCACTTCGCTCCTTATTCAGCAAAGTGCTGTCTCTTTAGAGAGATGGCTCCTCCCACCCAAAATCTGTTGAGCAATACTTGAGGTTTTACCAGGTTGGGACTCCTAGAATCTGACACATAATGGGCTGCAATTAATATTTATCAGTTAACTTAACAATTGAGTCATTTTTATGACCTTTCTTAGCCAATTTGAGGTTCTTTTTGTTTTATTATGAAATATTTATCTGTTAGGTTCATACTACTGAGATATGTACATTGCCTTTTTAGAAATTTCTTTTTAGGAAGTTCAGAAAAATCTCTTTAGTTCTTCCTGTATCTTTCTCTATAATGGAGCGATCTTAAAACTTACTGATCTTACATAACATTTTCAAATGTATTAAATGCTAAAAGTGTAAGCTACCTAAACATTCATAATTCAGATGTTTCTGTCAAGTAAATTTATGCAGGTGAGAGGTGTGTGGCCAATAATGTTTTGTTAAGAAGTCTAAATAACATGTTTATATATAGACGTCTTTGAAAATAAAATTTGCCTGAAGAAGAGTTTAGCCTTTGCTGTAAGTATTCGTAATGCAGTCCAATATCTCACTTCTGTACAGGACAGTCAGATATTCATTCTTCATTGACTCAGAATGTGTTTTCTTATTCTTCCCAAGCCATTGTATTGTAGAGTATACTATTCCCTCCTGCAGAATCTGGGGTGAGTTCTTTTACTAGCTATGGAGAAATCTATGGTGATTTTCATTTAAAATGTTTTATTTGTCTTATGTGGAGCATATGATAGAAATGAAGAGATTAATCTCAGTAGAACACCAGTTTGTTAATGTAAGCAAACTTTCTCTAACAACTTCATAATAAGCTGATACCACAATTAACTTCCCCCAATGCATGAAATTTATTCTAAATGAGCCTGTATAAAGCAACCAAGAGTGTCTTAAACTGTAGGCCTAGGCTGTATTATTGACCCTAGGAGCACTTCCAAGAATGGAAAGCCAATAACCAGATGGATGTGAACTGTGCAACCAGTTTATGTGGGTTTAATAGTGCAATGAGAACAGAGGGTGCAACCCAAGTTGGGGAAGAGTGAATATATATGCATATATTTAAATACTTCTCACTCATTAACAAGATATATGAGAAAAAAAATTCTTGAATGCAAAGTATAGATTTTGTCCACAAATCTACAGTAAGCCCTAGGGACACTCTTCAAACTCAAATCCAATATAGAAAGGACATCTATTTCCAAAAATTTCTGTTTTAAATGGGGTAGACATTTTGTGTGGCATTATAAATTTGAGAGCAACAGAGGGGACATTAGTAAGGAGTAGGAGTAATGACCAGAAGCTGAGGCCAGAAACTCAGTGTTCCCAGACTATCAGAGGGAGTTTAGTCTATAGCCTAGCAGAGACACTGCACAGCATTAGTGTAGGTCAGGAAGTTTCCGCAGGATGCTGTCCCAGGCATCTGGGGCTTTGAATAGCTTTAGATTCACATTCATCAGTCATGACAGCTGTGAACTACTTCCAAATTCCACTTGCTAGGAAAATAACTATTAATATGTATTTGGCTAGTTCCTATACTGATTGAGGTTTAGCCTGCAGGTGTGCATAGATCATTTCTGGAATTGGGTTAAATAAACCATAACTAATATTGAGAGGTTTGGAGGATCTAAGGTAGAGGGTAGAGAGTGAAAAAAAGTGGCCACTGACCCTCCCAGAGTATGCTGGCGGAAAGACCATCAGTCCCTCCTTACAGTCTATAATTCCAGGTCTTAAGGAACCTGATAGCAACAATCAAATATTCTTTATAATAGTTCTTATCTTATTATAAATCAGACTATGATCAGAGCATTCATTTGCAGTGTTTCATTAAATTATCCTAACAACTATGTGAACTATTAGCAGTTTTCATAGATGAAAAACATAATGAGATACGGAGAGGCAAACAAACACCTTTCCTTTGATTCCCAGCTCTGTCTTCCTCTTCTACATATTTTGTTTTGGAAACATTCTTTTTATATCTCCCATATCACACAAGCCATCATCATATATTGACTTGAGAAATAACAATTGTTAACATAGAGTAATCCATGGTAATTAGGCAAATTAAGCTCAAACAAGGGTCATATATTATTACATATTGATACTCTGGGGAAAGATAATTTCTGAGACTACTTCCATAAACTTAGCCAATGACAGAATATATTATTGAAAAACATGATAGCATGATGCTGTTATATGATTCCATGTACATCATAAATAAGTTATATGAAGTAAGTTGTATATTTACCAGTTAGCTCTATCCTCTTAGATGAGAGAAAAGCAGCAGTCATATTCTCTTAAATCATTATAGCTGCTTGTGCTGCTGTGGTTTTTCATAACTCTAACGATAGGTCTTCATCCTGCACTAACACTTAGCAGACCATAGCAATATCACTTCTGTGCTTTGTTTAATGTCTAAACATTAAAGTTTTATGAATGACTGCAAATAGATAACAAGTGCCAAGGCAGGCCCCAGTTGCTATTGTTAAGCAGTGTTTGCTCTGCAGCAGTTTTCTCAGCTCTGCAAACACATCTTCCATCTGGCAGCTGGCTATGTTTTTAATTTTCCTCTGCATAAAGCAAGCCCATAGGCAATGCCATTTTATACATTTTACTATTCAGGCTATGTGAGTAGCCTATCAAAATATTCTGAAGAAGTCCTAGTGATCAGTATTATTGAAGAACTACCAAAAAATTATATTTAAATATTTAAGTATTCCTCACTCATTAACAGAATCTATGAAAAAAAATCCTTGAATGCAAAGTACATTTTTGGTCAACAAATTATTTTTTTTCTTCTTTTTCTTCTTAATGGTGCGTAGTTATAATCTGCCTTTCCCAGTCTTGCAGTCTAGGCATCCCTGCATCTCTAAACTCTACTAGAATCTGAGGTCAAGTTAGCCAAGGCACCGCCTCTTTTTCACCATTTACTCAGGCCTGGAATTTATGCTTCTTGCAGATTCTGAATACAGTGAGCTGTGAATGAAATTCCAGTACATTTGAGCTATTGAAGCTGCAATATCTCCCATCCCTGGTCACAAACCACACTGACTCACCTCATAGATGGACTACTGCATTAGATTTCTCATTAAGCCAGTCTATTTGCTTATATATTTACACCTGGCTGTCTCAGAAAAAAATAAAAAAAACCTTGTATGCATATTTATTATAATTGATTAAAATAGCTAATTTGATAATGTTTTAAAAAGAGTTGGTTTAATTTACTGAGAATATCATAGACTTGGATGTCAAAAACATGGTCTTTGACCTAACTTTATCTCTAATTAATGATTTTTGTCTGAAGCAACCACCTAGCTACCCAGGATTTCAGTTTTCACATCTGTAAGATGAGAAAGGTAAGTATTCATGCTGTTTGGAAGAGGCAGAGATCTGTAGCTATTCAGTTCCTACCCACCAAAGAATGCAAGAATGGTCATGTTATATCCGAGAAGACTGTCCTTCTTAATTCTTTCAGGCAGATTCATGAAGGAAATGCATTATACAATGAAAGAGAAAAAAAATGCTACCTAGTCAGATAAACTACACTTAATTGCGTGATGGCTGGATTGCCCTAATCAGTATTATTTTGGATTAGATCATTCCTAAGGTTTCCTTCAGTTCCAAGTAAATAAATAATTCACTTACTTTTGTCAAGAAAACATAAAGGAAGTCAAATAACCAGTTCACATAGTCTCTGAATTTAACAGACCAGCTTTATAATCAAGCTTCTTTTCATAATATTAATACAATAGTTAATATGGAGTCTCTGGTTTTTTACACAAGTCTAGCTTCAAAGATCTATCTATTACAGCAGCAGTCCCCAGCTTTTTTCGCACCAGGGGCTGGTTTCATGGAAGACAGTTTTTCCATGGATGGAGGAAATGGTTTCAGGATGAAACTGTTCCACCTCACGTCATCAGGCATTAGATTCTCATAAGGAGCCCGCAACCTAGATCTCTTGCATGCACAGTTCACAATAGGGTTCGCACTCCTATGAGAATCGAAAGTCGCTGCTGATCTGATAGGAGGCGGAGCTCAGGAAGTAATGCGTCCTTGCCAGCTGCTCACCTCCTGCTGTGCGGCCCTGTTCCTAACAGCCTAACAGGCAACGGACCAGTACCGGTTCAAGGCCCAGGGGTTGGGAACCCCTGTATTATAGCACTCAAAATTGTGAAGGAGGATAAAGAGAATCTACATCGAAACATCTTCTATTGAATGAATGAAGACACTTTCTGTAATGTGTAGGAGACATTAATATGGGTCTCATATATTGAAAGCATTATAAATGGGATAAACAAGGCATTGGTTTGGGGGTACAAAAACAATTAAAAAGTGGAAGCACTATAATAATACAATGCAAATATTTTTCATCTTAAATAGGTGCTTTGTGTAATTTGAAAGAACTAGTAAAAAAGCATTTTGAAGGGAAGTTGAATCCACCTGGGTTTATCAGCTTCGCATACTATTACAAATGGAATTTAAATAGTTATTTAAAAAACTCATTCAACAGTGTTAGGTTTTTCTATAAAAGTATTACAGAGTCTAATCCTTTAAAAATTTATTATGGAAATTATGAGAAAATATGTAAAGAAGAAGAATCTACTCCTAACCAAAGTTAGCATTAATATTTGGAGATTTCCTTTAGTATATTTAATGAGTGTTGATGTATATACATGTGTGCATATTTGCAAAACAGGTATAATATGGGAATACAGTTTTGAGTCCAACTAGTTTTATTTAACCATATATTATGAGCATTGTCTTATTGCATTAAATATTTTTCAAAAGCAAAAAAGATTGTATTATATATTATCGTGTGAATATATCAAAAATTGTAAACATTTTCCTAGAAGGACTTTATTATTCTACAATTATAGTGTTAACAATAGGTTTTAGAATATGCAAGGCACTATTCTAAATGCTTTACATACTCAGGTATTGACTCACTTATTCTATGTAATAAATGTGAGGTATCTGCTTTTATTTTTCTTATTTTGTGGGTAAGAAAACGGAGGTGCCAAGAAGTTAAATAAATTGAGAATAATAAAAACACCTACCTCACCAACCTTCTAGTAAATATATTAATACCATAACTGATTGCAAACCCAACGATGGTGTTTACCAGCAGGGAAGTCTTTATTATGAAATGCTTTTAGCAGGGTATACTCAGTCTGTCTAGAACTGTAGAAAACAAACTTACATTTATGGGGGATAGATGCCTGCAATATATCACTTATGCTATATAAATAACTGAGTATGACATTGAGATGTTTTATGATGGAAACAACTCTCTTCTTTGCAAGTAATGTGACTATACACTAGTCTTAGAAGCTGATGTGACAAGAAAGGACTTGTCACATAGTGGTGTTCTCAAACCTCTTCCCATTCCTCATAATTACTTGTATACTTGAAATTGTTATTTCCATATTAAGATCTTTGATTCATTTGATTCTGATTGAACAATTCCATTCTTCATGCAATGTCAGATATTTTTTAAGACTTTTTATATTTAGGATCTGTTGGGAGACAATTTTTCAGGAGTTTCTCACATACCCCTATGTCTTATAAGGAATCACTCACTACTTTTGCTCCAGTTTTTTATAAATGATTGTGTGGTGAGCAATCTTGGAAGAGAGAGATAATGTCTTCCTCCAGAGCAATGGGCACTTTCTGTCCAGCATAAAATAATTAGGTTCAGGTTCCTCTCTTGTGTTACAATTTATGGTATATCATGTGTCATGTGATCTTTGCTTCACTCTGTGCCAGTTCGGGTTTGGAGAACTGGCACAACAAAGAAATAATATTGTGGCTACAGGAGTCTCAAAACTTTGGCCAGCCTCCATGGGAATGTTGTAGGCTAAATTTTCACTTGCAAGGAAGGTAAAATCTCAGATACTTTACTGTTTTTGACAGGGTCAAATTCAACTTTAGAAAGATGGCAATAATTTATAGTGCCACAAAAAGTGAATAAAATTGTCTATATGCTCACTTTTGATAACACTGGCTAGTATCTTAAAAGTAAAGTCTACACTGTCAACTTTGCTAATTCACAGTTTAAATAAGGTCGTTCCTTTGTTTAACTGTGTGCATTTTTTTGTAATTACTAAAGATGTATCACCGAGTGTTATAATTGCCTTTATTTGTTTACTCTCCAAATAGTCTCTCGACCTCTATAGTACAGGGACAAAGTCTAATGTAGTCCTTATTTAGGACCAAATTTAGTGCCCATCTATTAGGTAGTAAAAATATTTAGTAAATTTAATGAAGAAAAGGGTGTGTTACCTTTGCTGGCTTTGACTCTTTTTTCTTTAGATTATAACTATTCCATTGATATTTAATTTTCTTTAAGTCTTAAAATTTCCTCAAAAATATGCTATTTTTTTGACAGTCATTTCCCACTACCAATTTGTGTGCCTTCTTTTCAGCAACCTTTCTTTTCTTTGCCTGTCAGTTGAAGTAATCCTTCATTTCAAACTTCACAGACGAGAAAATTGATCATTTATAAGTCCTTTCACCCTGATAGCCCTGAAAAAGGAATCATTCATGTTTTTTAGTCATCTGTTTCTTGAAACCTAACAAACCTTAGTCTTCAATTCTACACACTCATTTTCTTGTCTAGCACCTGTCTCTTCCATTAGCAGTGGTGTTTTTTGTTTATCCTTTTGGACAAATTTGTTTCTCTAATCTCTGCATGGTGAAATTTTATTTGCTTTCATGATTTTCGTTCTAGCAGAGAGTTGAAAATATTTCTTTCTGTTGGGTGATGTTAGCAGTAATTTCTGAAATTCTCATTCACCTATACCAGATTAGCTTGTTTTCAAATTGTAATTCAAAAAATAAATATTACAAACATACTGAATGAAATGATTAAAATCACATATATGCACATCTATATGTATATGTGTTTTCAAATCTGAATGTATATATGATGATACTGTATCTTAGTACAAACTTTCAGGACAACAAATTGCCCATTTCCATCAAGAGTTTTAAAAAATGAGAATCTGTATGTTTGTCGTGAAGTATCTTAAGTACATGATCTAAAACATAGTACAAAATAAAGCTTTTTGTTCAAGATAGCCATTGCAACATTATCACTAGAGACCACAATTTTTAGAATCTTAAACATCCAACATTAAGAAAACTAAGCAACTTAAAAACACTGTATAGAGAAACTTAATTAACATTAAATAGATATGTGATGTTTAGTGAAAAAGAATGAAGAAATCACTTTGAAATGCTATCAGTGATTATATTGAGGAAATGAAACTATTTGGATTTTTGAAAACGTAATAATGTATTTCCAAACCCTTAATTTGCTTCTCTGTAAAATGGGACTAACAAAGTTAGCTGTCTGAGAGAGTTTTTCCAAGAATTAATGAAGTAATGAATTTCAGTTTCTTGTGACAGTGGCTGATACATGGCAAAGTGTGCCATTAGAAATAGCTGTTCTTATTACACAGATTAATTATTATTTTATCTATTATAAAAATATCTGGCATTGAATAAAAACTCTTATTTTGCTTGTGTGTTACATGAATTATAACTTTTAGAATTATATCCGTCATGCACATGAGGAGATGCTTCTGAAGTGATTTTAAAGTTATTACACTTCTTCAAAACAATTTTGTTACTTTATGTTGTTTCCATAACATTTTTACATTATTATTTTATACTTGAGAATATGAAGTTGAAACAGACAAACCTCTTTAGGCATATATTATGTCTTTAAAATATAGTCTCATTTAATCTTCACTATAACTCTGTTAGGTAGGTATTATTATGTTTATTTTTAGTTAAGTAATCTGGTGTTAAGTCAAGGAAATGAGTGAATTTTCTATGACTTGCTTTTAAATATTACTCAACATTACATTTGTAAATTTATCCATGTGAGATATAGTTAGGCACACTCATTTTTTAAGGCTGTATCCTATTCCATCATATGAATACAGCAATTTTTGTTTCCTGTCTGTGGAATTTTTTCTAGTGTTTTCTTATAGCAAACAATGTTTCCATAGACATTCTTGTACCTGTCTTCTTGGCAAATGTGTAAGAATTTTTCTGGAAGATATACCTAAAATTAAGATTGTACTGAATATGCACATTTTTAACTTTGCAAGGTAATGCCAAAGAGCTATCCAAAGTGGCTTACAGTGTATAGTCCTACTAGCTGTGGATGAGTATCCCCACAGCAACAAATCTTCACTTCTTTGCATAGTCAGACTTTTTGCTTTCTACCGGTGAAATGACAGTAATGATATTTCCCATGTTTTAAATATGTTTCTATATTTAGGAATAATAAAACTTTTTTCATTTATTGGCCATTTATGTTTTATTTGTAAAATACATGTTTTTATATCATTGACTCCTCCTCGTTTTCAAGTAGATTACTTAACTTTTTCCTCTTGATTTCCTTCCTTATATAGGTAAACAAATCTAACAAAAATATTACTTTATGAAACAAAAATGATAACTAATTTACTTGGCTTCCATTTAAAAAATTAAATTAAATTCTTAGTCATAAAAAGGAAAGTGCTGAACAAAACTACAGCTTCCATTATTGGCCATTATTCCATCAGTAATAATGGTTGGAATTACTATCTGCTATTTTGAGACTTATCTTTTTCAAACTTCCTTATGCAGTTTCTTTAAAAAGTTTTGTTTTATGAATGGTAAGTTCTAAATTTATTACCTTAGTTAAATTTTATTTTATGTATTACTTGTTTATACTTAATAAATTATTTCCTATGCCAAAGTCATAAAAATTTCTCCTATACTTTTGTCATGAAGTTTAAAAAAATTTGTTTTTGTAGTTGGCATGAAGTGGTAACTCTACTTCATTTTTTTTGGTGTTAATTATATATTCATAGCAACATACTAAATATTGCATATTTTAATCTAAGATTTGCAATGCTAGCTATCTTAGACATTGTGTTTTCATACATGCAGGGATTCATTCTCTTCTCTAAGCCTATTTATCTATTCGTGAGCCTATGCAAGATTGTCTTCCTTACTGCAGTCTAAGAATTCTAAGTCTTGATATCAGATAGCATGAATTAGTCACATTGTTTTCCTTCTTGAGTAGAGACTTGGGCTTTTGCTTGTCCATATAATTTTTAGGTTTCTTTGGCCAGAGATGTGTATCTAATATTCTAAGTCATATTTATTGAAAAGACAATTCTTTCCTCATTGATCTGAGGGCGTCTTTTTTAAAAAGATCATGTACACATATGGGTTAGTCTATCTTTGGATTCTATTATTTTCCCATTGGTCTATGGTTTATACTTATCTTTATAACTGTTGGTGAGAGCAACTTCTTTCATTGGTTCTTCTTAAAGAATGTTGCCCTTGTTAGGGTCTGGCAGAAGCAGATTAGGAAACTGATAATGGACTGAGGAAAACAGGACAGAGAAAGATACGGAAGGAAAGGAGCAGTAGCAGACAAATCGCATAGAAGATAGTTTCAGTTTGAACCCACGGGGTATTACTCTGCATTATAATTTATATATGTGTATATATATATATACATATATATATATATATATATATTTTGATTGTTGGAGTCATGCTTTTTTACTTTTTTTTAATTTTAGATTCAGGGGTACATGTGAAGGTTTATTACAAGGGTATATTCCATGATGCTGGGGTTTGGGCTTCTATTGATGTCATCATTCAGATAGTGAACATAGTATCCAATAAGAAGTTTTTCTTTCAGCCCTTTCCCGCTTTCCTCCTTCCTGACTTTTGGATTCTCATCTGTGTGTACTCAAGGTTTAGCTCCCACTTATAAGTGAGAACATGCAGCATTTGGTTTTTTGTTTCTGTGTTAATTCCCTTAAAATAATGGTCTCTATCTGCATCCTTTGTTGCTGCAAAGGATATAATTTTATGCTATTTATGGCTATGTGGTATTCCATTGTATGTATGCACCTGCACTTGCATGTTTATCGCAGCATATTCAAAATAGCAAAGACATGGAATCAATCTAGGTGTTCAACAATTGTGGGCTGGATAGAGAAAATGTGGTACATATATACAATGGAATTAAATTTATATTTTATGACTAGATTTGTAGAAAGATGAATAGAATTCAGACTGGATGTACTATTTTATGGATTCATTATTACTATATTCATATTTTTCTTCTTATTCTAAAATAAAGTAAAAGCATTTGTGGGGCCCCACAAAGTATTGTGGGCCCAAAGCACAGTGCCTACTTGTCTAATAGATAAGTCTGCACTGACAAGGAAGCTTGGCTTTATGTTCTGCTATCTTAATATTGCTTAATTGGTGTCCCGACTCTCCCCTCTGAGTGCTGGGACAAGGACAGTCTTAGAAAAACAGAATGGCAGCTACTGGCTGTTAGAAATAAAAGTAAACTTAAGATCACAAAGGAGTCATGGAAAGAGGAAAATGAAAGTATCCTAGGGGATTCTAACACTATGCAATAAATAGTCTTGGCTGTTCTTGACTCTTCACATTTCCATATGGAATGAGAATCAGCTTGTCAAGTTTTACAAATTCCTGTAGGTTTATTAATTAGAAATGCTTTCATTCTATAGATGAATTTGGAGAGAAGGAACATCTTTCAAGTATTGAATTTTCCAAGTCATGAAAAAATTATATATCTCTATTTAAGCCTCAAAATACAATTTTATAATATTCCCCAAAGACATCTCGAATTTTTTATTAAATATATTCCCAAGTATTCAGTATTTTTATTCTATTGTAAATAAACCATATTAAATTTTTTTATCTTCTATTTATTTCTAGTATACAGAAATACAATTGATTGTTGAAGAATTATTTTGATCCAACAAAGTTGCTACATAATCTCATAAATTTGAATAATTTTTTGATAGATTCTTCTAGATTTTCTTTCTACATAATTCTATCATTTGAGAATGACAGTTTTGTCTACTTCTTTCCAGGTTGTATACCTCTTATTTCCTTTTCTTGGCTCAGTACATTGGCTAGAACCTCCAGAACAATGTTGTATAGAATTCGTAATGGAAGATATTTTTATTCTCTGATTTTAAAAGAAAATTCCCATGGTATTACTGTTAAGAATAATGTCTACTCTGGGTTTTGCTAAGCTTCTTTTCTAAGATTTATATAATTCATCCTCTCCAGATTTAGTTTTTGTTTTTCAAGTTTATTTCCCCCATGAATGACACAGAATTTTATGATTGTCATATACATTTTCAACTTGTTAATGCTAATAATCTATTTTCAATTTTATATTACTCAATTAAATATGCTAATATTTTGTTTAATTTTTCATCAGTGCTCATGAGTGAAAAGGGCTTATAATCTTCCTCTTATTTTCTTTGTCAGATTTTTGTATTGAAGATCATGTTAAGCACATTAAATATTGATTAATTATCTTTAATTCCATAGAACTATTCAGGTTTTTAATTTCTTCTGGAGTCCGCTGTGGTAACATAGTTCTCAGAGAAGTTGTTTATTAATCAATTCTCAAACTAATTGGAATAAGGTTGTTACTAGTATTGTCTTACTAGTTTTAGTCATTTAATGATTTATTTTCAGAAATATTTTTATTGAAAAATGTTATGAGAGATTTACCAATTTTATTAGTCTTTATAAGTAACCAACTTTTGATATTTTATCCTATTTTACATTATTGTACTTTATTTCTGATCTTATTTTGATTGTGTCCTTTCTTTTACTGTATTTGGCTTTATTTCACTCTCTTTGGAGGCATACTCCATTAATTTTAGTTTCTTCTCTTCTAAAATATACATTTAAAACTAAAGTGCTTGCCTTAATTACTAATCTAATTTCATTCTAACTGTATAATATACAATTAAAATTATTTTCCAATTTTAATTTATTTTCTTCTTGGACCTATGCTTATTTTGAAGTACATTTTAACATTTCCAAACATATGTGGATCTCCTAGCTATATTTTTGTTATTGATTTGTAGCTTAATTACTCTGCATTCAGAAAATGTCCTCTGTATTATTTAATTCTTTAAAATTCATTGAAGCTTGTTTTAAGACCTAATAATGATCAACTTTTAAGTGTTTTCTCAACTTAAGAAAAATCTTTAAGTTAAATTCTTTAAATTGTTTCCTGTGTAACTGAAAAAAGAGAACATGTTCAATAAGATAAATTTTGTTAATTGTATTGGTCAAATCTTGACTATTTTTACTAATTTTTGTCCTGTTGATATATTATTGATTCTTGAAATGCATGTATTATAATCTCTCATCATTGTTGGAATTTATTTATTTCTCTTTATAGTTCTGTCAAGTTTTTCCTTCATCTATTTTGAGGAAATTTAGAATTGTTACATATTCCTGGTAAATGAAAATTTTCTCATTAATTATGACTTAAAAAAAATCTTTAGTAATGCCTTCTGCCTTAAAGTGTATTCTGATGGATACTTATATGGATTCATCTGCTTCCTTTCAGTTATTACTTGAATGCTCTTTCTATTCTTTGTTTTCAATTTTTCTGTTTCCTCGTCTGGTAAATATGTTCCTTGTAAATGTAATATATAAGTTTGTTCTTTGATTTAGTATGCAAGTATCATCTTTTAAATGGAATGCTTATCTCATTTAATTCTAACCTAGTTATTGATATATTTGATTGTAAATCTACTATCTATAGACTTTGTTTCTCCTTCTATCTCTGTTTCTGTTTCTTTCCTTTCTTGCCTTCCAAAAAGAATATTATAAGGCCATGTCCATTTAACAAAAAAGTGCAGGAAGAAATGAGAAGAAGGCAAAGAAAGGAAAGGCCTTCCAAAAAGGCAAGAAAGAAAAGAAATAGAAACAGAGATAGAAGGAGAAAGAGAAAGATATATTTATTGAAACAATGAAGTTTTATTGAAACAATATATTTATTGAAACAATAAAGTTATCTTTATTGTTCTATTTTTTATATTTTAAGAATAACACAGTATTTCTATTTGTTTAGGGATTATATACTAACCAATATCCCTCACTCAGCAAAAGTGTAATATTATTTGGTACTTTTACTATCTGCTTATACAAAGAACTGAGAACACTTTAACTCCATTGATTACTGCTCCTGATTTATATTCTATCATTATAGGACATTTCACTTGATTTTAGCCAAAAGGCCGAGAGGTGATAATTGTAGGACATTAAAAACATCTCTCTATATTTTTCAACACAAAATGTTATTATTTCTTTATATAATTAATGCTTATTTAAATTTGCCAATATATTTTCATTTTTATGGCTTCTCATTTCTTCCTGCACTTTTTTTGTTAAATGAACATCGCCTTATAATATTTTTTCTTTCTATTAGGGAATGCTCACCTTTTAGTACTGAAATACCTAGCACAGAAGAGGTGTTCACTAAATGTTTTCTGAAGAGAAATAATAAAGTCTTCATGACCTTTAACCTTTTTAAAAAGACCAGTACCCAAATTTTCACTCATTCTTGGAAAATTGTATATATATATAAATATATTTTCAAGGCATAGTGTGATGATTTTATACACACATACACATATTACATTAATCAACCCTCCATCATCATATGTAGTTACCCTTATTGTGTGTGTCTGTGTATGATGAAGATACTTAAGATCTACTCTTTTAGTACATTTTAAACAGTTAGTCCCCATGGAATCATTTTGCTTTTCCCTGAAGACCTTCTTTCAGTAAGTTTAGGTGTTTATTTGATAGAGTCAGCTTGTGGCAAATGATCATGACATTGTTTTTCTGAAACTATTTTACCCTCTTTCTTGGATATTTTTATTTAATATAGAATTCAGTGTTGGAAAATTTTTTTCAGTTCACTATATATATTTTCCACTGTTTACTTCTGACATATGTTCTGAATCTATGACCCTTTTATTTTCTTTTACTTTTTTATGGTAGTTAATACAGTGCACAGTGTAGTGTTGTTTCATCTGTTATCTATAGTACCTAGCATAGTAGTTAGCACAGTAAACAGGCCTCAGTGAATTCCCTTAAATGAATTTAAAATAAGGTTTTGATTTAATAGTAATGCTAAGAGATATGGTTTCCTCCAAACTCCTTATTTATAAATGATAAAGTTGATAGGTGATATATTAGATTCTCCCCAGCCTGCTATTATCAATCTTTCTTGGTCTTGTGAAATAAGAAATTTGTGATCAACTTGCCCTTGAGTTGGTCCTCACTATGTGGTTGCAAAACAGCTGTGCATATTTAATGATTATTCATAATTTTTCATTCATTATTTAGTATTGTGTAAGCTGTGAAGAGTAGTACTATGGTGTTAGTGGTTTCTTAAGAAATCTCATTTAAAACTTGATAGTAGAAAACTGGTGTAAAATACTACATTTATTTTTCAACTATATAATATAATTGTGCTGAGAATTCAGGGATATGTGCTAGAAGCATAAGAAAGAGGCTTTAGCCTCTGTGCTGGGTTTCCATCCTTCACAGATGTGTAACCACAGCCACCATCCCAGCATGTTGTGTACAAAACTGAGAAAGACTTGGAAAGCAGTGTTCACATCCCATTTGCTAACAATTGAATCCCATATCTTCTTAGTAGACTGTAGCTTGTATGAAATTTGTGGGATTGAGTGCTTATTATCATCAATTATGGAACTCATATACCTAAGGGATTAATTAAGATACTAAGTAGCATATCAACAAAAACTGGACAACTATAGTTAGATTAGAGCGGGTAATATAACCATATCTTCTAACCTCCCTCTTTCTACATGCAACCTCATTGCCAGACAATCATAGCAAATACCTTCTTTAAGAGGTTCATCTACAGAGTGTTGTTTTAGCAAAGGCACATGTGCCCATCTGTCTTAAAATCTTTAAAAGTAAAGAACTATTATCCAAAATACACAAAGAACTCTTAACACTCATTAAAAACCAGTAGGAGAAAACAGTAAAAATATCACAGTTTTAAAAAATTGTCCTATGCATCCCTTTCCTTTGGCTGTTCCCCAAGTTATATCATTCGTAATAAACTAGTAAAGTTTAAAAACAAAAACAAAACAAAACAAAAAACAAGTCAGTGATTTCCAGGGCTTACACGGGGAAGGGAGGGAGGCAGGAATAAATAAGCAGAGCACAGAGGATTTGGGTGGTCATAAAACCATTCCGTATAATACTATTACGGTGGACACTTGTCATTATACATTTGTCAGAACTCATAGAATGTACACCAAGAGTGATCCCTAATGTAAACGATCGACTTTGGGTGGTGATGAATTGTCTATGTAGGTGCAACAACTGTAACAAATGTACCACTTTGGCGGAGATACTGCTTGTAAGGGAGGCTAGGCATGTGTGGGCGCAGATGCTGTGGGAACTTCCTATACTTTCTGCTCAGTTTTGGTGTGAATCTAAAATTTCTCTAAACAATAGTTTATTTCAAAAAAACTATAATTGTTTCAGCTTTTCTGACTGTACTGTGGTCTTTCACCTGGGATATATTATTGGTGTCTTTATTTTTATTGTTATATTCACTATTTTCTTCATTTTGAGTTGACACATAATAATTGTACATATTTCTGGGACACAGAGTGATACTTTGATACATGAATGCAATGTGTAATGATCAAATCAAGGTACTTAGCATATTCATCACCTTGAATATTTATCATTTCTTTGTGTAGCAAACATAGACTTTTCTAGCTTTTTGAAAATCTACACTAAATTGTTGTTAACCATATTCACCCTACAGTGCTACAGTACAAAATATAAAGAAATAAAATGAAAAGCAATTACCTATGACTTTTCATACAAATGGAGCAGGTGTTTTTCATTTTTGCTTATTACTTTCCTATTGCTATTTGCAAATAGCTTATTTTACACAGTTTATGTCAAGTATAAATCACAGTCCATGCTTTCTTTTGTGCCACTTGAAATTATATTACAAACAGTTGTCTCCTCTTAGTCTTAATAATGATCATTTTTCATAGCTATGTAATATCCCAAATGTATTAATGTACTATGATTTAGCAAGTCTTTCCCTATTGTTGAACATTTATTCTATTACGGGTAAAGCTGCATTGAATATTTTTTAGGAATATATTTTATCACCTTTGTTGAATTATTTCCTTAGGAGAAATTTCCCAAAATGGAATAACTATAGCAAGGGCATGAAAAGCTTTGTTTTTTGCTACTTATTACCATAGTCCTTTCAGAAGTGTTCTATTAATCTATACTGACATAGTAGAGTAAAAATGCATTGATTTAACTACATTTTGGGGGCCATTGAATACTATCACCTCTAATAATCATTTAGTAGTCATCATAGGCATTCTGTAAACTGATTTAATTATTTTATAAAGAATTTTGCTTTGATAATAATGTCTATAATAGAACATTAATATCAAATGACCATAACAGGTCAGTATTACCATATTTCCTGATGGTAATTCTATACTTAACAATGTGTGAACATCAGTCTTACAAAAAAAGACAAAATTAATATTTGAGACCAGCTGATTAATGAATGACAATTTAGCATCGTGCATGCAATAGTATATAGTTTTGAAAGTTTGAAAATAGCTTCATTTCTGAAGTAATTTAAACACTTACTCTGGTAACTGTTAAAATAATCAATCTGCTTAGCAGTCCTTTTCATAAATATTGCGCACTGTAGGGCAATTTCCATTTAATAGGTAAATTACCAGTTCAGAAGTGTGAGTTTAACATTACTAAGTGCGACGAAGGAGGGCAGTAGCAGACCTTCAAATTTTCTTAATCATGGACTGTCAAACACTTTTTTACTGTTCCAATGTAGACATGGCTTTGAGAATACAGATACAGAGAATACAGGCTCAGCAATGCCAAGACAGATTTAGTATTTAAAGTTCAGTCAAATACCAAAAGACCCAGAGGTTTTCTTCTGTACTAAAATAGCAAATCCCATTACTTTGAAAATCAGAAGAGAATAGAGTACCTCACCATCTTCCCCATATAGTTCCCTAATGCTTTCATTACCATTGCAATAGATAACGTTGCCTTTCACAGTGGTTTTGCAGATTAGATGATTATACAGTCAACTTTTGACTATGCTTGATAATATGGAGTTAATAAAACTCGCTTGGTCAAAATTAATATATTTCTACCAATTTGGTCAGTTTCTAAACGCATTCTCCAAATAATCAGTCATAAAAATCAGTCTGGTCTGTACCTTTCTAACAAGTATATGGATTTCATAATAAATTAAATCTGGATTTCTTTTCACTCTCCAAGATTAAGTTGTTGGTCACCTTAAGGGAACACTAATTTGCAAGTTGTTTTATAAGTTTTTTTTTCTGGACTAAATAATATTAAATTTCTGTCTAGATATACTCTAATATTGGTAGGTAAAACTGACCTTCTTGTGGCATACAAAAATGGGAGCATGCAACTATTTTATTCTTCTTAGGTTTACCAATGTCCACAGTGAATATTTATATAGAGAAAAATAAATATCTGAAATTGATGAACATAATTTTAAAGAGAAATCAGCTCTTTGCATGGATCAGTAATACTTCTGGATACAAAAATTTATTAAGAAAAATTATCAGATTGGTAGACTGCTTGCTCTGTCCCAAGTAATAAGTACATGTTATTAACATATATTTGGCTAGCAAAAATCTAAAACTGAAGGTAAAAATATTCACTTAAAATGAAAGTGAGTTTTGTTTCAATTGCACATGCAGAATTACATAAATACATGCAATACCATATTGCGACTTGGAAACAGTGCTTTGGAGACAAATATATTATGCCAAAAAATAAATCATATCCCTTTAGAAGAGATTTCCTTTACTCTTTTAAGTCTTTGATTATATAATTGGAAAATAATAGGTTAATTTGATTAAAATACTAGAGAAAAACTGCTTAAAATGTTCACCACGTTTCTAGTCATTAACTTATGGATAAAAAACCTTGAAGTTGTTTTTATATTTTTTCTTCCCAAATCACTGTAGAACTACTATAGTTTTTTTTCAATAGAAGTACTGAATAGAATGTTTTGGTCAAAACCTTTCCTTCCTTCTTTTCCTTCCCTTCCCCTTCTCCTTTCTTCTCTCTCTCTCTCTCTCTCTCTGTCTCTCTCCCTCCTTCCTTTCCTTCCCTTCCCCCTCCCCTCCTCTTCCCTCCCTCCCTTTCTTCCTTCTTTCTTTCCTTCTTTCCTTCCTTGTCTCTCTCTCTCTCTCTCTCTCTCTCTCTCTCACACACACACACACACACACACACACTCTTTAAAAATGTTTGAGTGGTAATTATTTTCTAATGTAAGATTTAGATGTTTAGTAAGAAAGTTATACTTGTTATACTTCCTAGATATCAGTATAGATAAGAAACATTCACATTCAAGAATATGCTTGTTAAGCTAGGATTCGTAGCAAGTACAGTGAGTTATTGATGTTAAATAATTTAAGGGCTTCAATCCCTAGTTTATGGATTTCTCTGCCACGTGAACCACATATCCATGTTCATGTTCTTGCTGAACTTTTTATAGTCAATTTTCCATGCACTTGATATATAAATAATTTTTGAAGCTTGGGGAGGCACTTGGGCACAACAAAATACAAAGCATAAAAATGGGTGCTCCGGTTTTGTCTCAACTTTAATAATTTCCTTCCTCCCCTTCCCCTTCCCTTCCTCCTCCCTCCTTCCTCTCTCCCTCTGCTCCTTTTCCTTTCCCTTCTCTTCCTCTTTCTCTTCTAGTTTGGCAATCAGATAACCACAGAGTGTTGGTTTAAATTTCCTCATTTCAAATCCTTGTGTCTCCACTTATAAATTATTTAAGTTATTTAACATCTTTAAGCCTTTGTTTCACCAACAGTAAAACAGACTATTTTAACATTAGACATGACGAAAAGTTTTCATCTAAAGTTTCAAGTCTGAGAGACTCATAGTGACTTCCTGTATTGGGAGATTTTAAAGATGCATTCGAACTGAATAGGACAGTAGGCCATAATCAATTATTTAATGTCTACTAGCAGATTGGGAGATTAGAATTATTATCCAGGCCCAAAGTATTTGCCATTTTTAATCTTAGAACCCAGGCCAAAGGGCTAAAAAATAATCAGACAGGTTTACTTTTCTCAGTGTGGCTAAATAGTCTATTTTTACTAAATATATTTCAGGATAATTTGGTGGAATCGAATTCTTGATACTCGCATTTCTTTTTTTCTTACAGAAAATGTAACATTACATATCAAACCACTATCAACATTAAAGTGAAACATGTAAGTTTTAATGTGGATATTTTTAATATAAAGCATGATAAGAATTCATACAATAATATATGGCTTTGAATGATTAATTCATTTGACTTAGCAACTTTGAAAAGAAAATCAGTAATTTGGAGAGTATTGAAAAGCCTATTGCCTTGGGTGCTTTGCCCAGGATATTGAAATATATATATATATAATTCAATAAAATATAATAATATACCAAGATGAACTGAAATATAGATAACTTAGAGCTCATTATTTCCAGAAAATAAGAATATGTCATGTTTAAAATATCATAACTTGAAGGAAGTGATTAGAATTTCAGAATGGTAGAACAGAAAGAACCCTTAAGAACAGTGGTTCACAAAATTTGCTATACAGGAAGCTGTCCTAGCAGTATTTAAAAGAAAAGCAAACAAAGCCAGGTAATACACACAGACATCCAGTTTCAGTTGGTCTGAGGTTGTTCCCAAGTATCAAATGTATTAAAAGCACCCCAGATAATTATGTACCAACATCGTGATTTGTGGATGGGGTAAAGAGGCCTACAAAGGGAAATGTATTTATGCATATGCACATACTTAGTGGCAGAATTGTGCCTAAATCCCATTTTCTCATTGATGCAGCTTCATTGCTCTTGTTTTTCAAGTGTGGAATATAAAAATACCAAATATTTTCATAATTATGTATCTATAGTAAACCTTGGTATAGCTATTAATTTGTGCTGTAATAGTAATACAACCGCTTGATAAAGAACATTTTAGTTAAAAAATGATACTAATTGACAACTTATTTAAGCAAAAATGAAAAGTCATATCATACTATATATGCATATATATATGCATATATATTTATGCATATATAATTGCATAAATATAAATGCAATTAATGAAAATCAATCTTGATGTGACACATGTTATAACTATGTTCAAACATGTAAAATAATATGTAGTTGTTAATCATGAAAATGTAGAGAATCTCAACAGGGAAATAGAGACTATAAAATATAACCAAATAGAAATTCTATGCCTAAAAAGATAATATGAGAAAAATAAGGTAAGTTGGAGGTCACGTTGGAGATGACTAAATAGTCAGTGAACTTGCACATAGATTATTAGAAATTATACAACCTGAAAAAGAGAAAGTAATAAAAACTTTTAAAAAAGAATGAGTTATCAGTGATCTCTAGGACAGTATCAAATATCTAGTATTTGTGAGATTGAAACCCTAGAATCAGAGAAGAGAGTGGATGGAAAAAATATTTAGAAAAATGGTGACTACATTTTTCTCACTTGGTGAAAACCATTTATTTATAGATTTCATATAAGCATTAAACTACAAGCAGTGGAAAAACAAAATCACACCTAGGTACATCAAAGACAAATTGCTGAAAAAACAAAGATAAATGGAGAATTTAGAGGGCAGACCTTAAATACAGGGAAAGAGCAATACAAGTAACTTCTGATTTCCCACTGGAAATTTTATATCTTGTGAAATATCTTTCAAGAATAAAAATAAAATTAAGACATTTTCAGATAAATTAAAATGATGAAATTTGTTACCAGCAGACCTACAATATAAGAAGTGGTAATGTTTTTCAGGCTGTAGAGAAATGATACCAATGTAAAGATAGGAAGTTCCTGTTTAGGAAGAATTGGTACCAGAAAGGGTAAATATAGGTGTTAATATAAATGATTATTTTTTCCTATTTATTTGAAATGCGTGTTATTTAAAACAAATATTATAACATATGGTGAGGTTAATAACACATGTAGATGTAATACATATGGCAGCCATAGCATAAAGTGGGGGGAGTTCAAGATTCTCACATTTATGTGAAGATGTATAATGTTAAAACTAAGTACCTCAGGAAAACTTAGGAAACAAACCATTAAAAATTAACTCCATGAGGTATAACAAAGAGGTAAAAGATAAATTAAAAAGGAATTATAAAAAATATTCAATGAACTTGAAAATAGGTCAGAAATCAGTAATACAGGAACAAAAGACAGATAAACAGAAAACAATTCGTAAAATGGGAGATGTAAATCCAACCATATCTACAAGTATTTAAATCCATACATATCTATAGTTACATTAAATTTAAATAAA
Organism: Homo sapiens; assembly: GCF_000001405.40. NCBI lineage: Eukaryota > Metazoa > Chordata > Mammalia > Primates > Hominidae > Homo > Homo sapiens. The sequence goes on along the minus strand of NC_000009.12, from coordinate 103,924,046 downwards.
CTAATTATGATAATTAATAGTAATAATAGCCCATATGAGTGAAGAAAAGGAGAGAGCAAGACTTCAATATATGTTGTTTAGAAGTGATGAAGTTTAATTTTAATTTTTGTTTTTTGTTTTACTTAGTTTTCCTTTTTATTTTTATTTTTATTTTTTTGGTACATGAAGAAGTTCTTTGGTGGTGATTTCTGAGACTTTGGTGCACCCATCATCCAATCAGTGTACACTGTAACCAATGTGTAGTCTTCTATCCCTCACCCCGCTCCTACCCTTTCCCCCAAATTCCCAAAGTCCATTGCATCATTCTTATGCCTTTGCATCATCATAGTCCTCATAGCTTAGCTCCATTTACGAGTGAGAGCATATGATGTTTGGTTTTCCATTCCTGAGTTACTTCACTTAGAATAATGGTCTCTAATTCCACCCAGGTTGCTACGAATGCCATTATTTCGTTCCTTTTTGTGACTGAGTAGTATTTCATGGTATGTATACAGCACATTTTCTTTATTCGCTTGTTCATTGACGGGCATTTTGGCTGGTTCCATATTTTTGCAATTGCAAATTGTGCTGCTATAAACGTGCTTGTGCAAGTATCTTTTTTGTATAATGCCTTCTCTTCCTTTGGTTAGATACCCAGCAGTGGGACTGCTTGATCAAATGTAGATCTACCTTTAGTTCTTTAAAGAATCTTGACACTGCTTTTCACAGTGGTTGTACTGGTTTACATTCCCACCAACAGTGTAAAAGTGTTCTCTTTTCACCACATCCACGCCAACATCTTTTTTTTTTTTTTTTATTATGGTCATTCTGGCAGGAGTAAGATGGTATAACATTGTGGTTTTGATTTTCATTTCTCTGGTAATTAGTGTGCATTTTTTCATATATTTGGTGGCCATTTGTGTATGTTCTTTTGAGAATTGTCTACTCATGCCCTTAGGACACTTTTTGATGGCATTATTTGTTTTTTTTCTTGCTGATTTGTTAGAATTCTTTCCTCGTAGATTCTAGGTGCTAGTCCTTTGTAGGAAGCATAGTTTGCCAAGATTTTTCTCCCAGTCTGTGGCTTGTCTTTTTACTCTGCTGATTATTTCTTTTGCTGCGCAGAAGCTTTTTAATGTAATTAGGTCCCATTTATTTATTTGTGTTTTTGTTGCATTTGCTTTTGGGTTCTTGGTCATAAATTTTTCGCCTAAGCCAACATCTAGAAGAGTTTTTCTGATGTTATCCTCTAGAATTTTTATGGTATCAGGTCTTGTGTTTAAGCCTTTGATCCATCTTCAGTTGCTTTATGTATAAGGTGAGAGATGAGGATCCAGTTTCATTCTTCAACATGTGGCTTGCCAATTATGCCAGCACCATTTGTTGAATAGGGTGTCCTTTTCCCACTTTATGTTTTTGTATGTTTTGTCAAAGATCAGTTGGTTGTTAGTATTTAGGTTTATTTCTGGGTTCTCAATTCTGTTCCATTGGTCTATGTGCCTATCTTTATATCAGTACCATATCATTTTGGTAACTGTAGCCTTATAGTGTAGCTTAAAGTTGGGTAATGTGATGACTCCAGATTTGTTCTTTTTCTTAGTATTGCTTTGATTATGAGAGCTCTTTTTTGGTTCCATATGAATTTTAGAATTTTTTTTTCTAGTTCTGTCAAGAATGATGATGGTATTTTGATGGGAATTGCATTGAGTCTATAGGTTGCTTTTGACAGTACGATCATTTTCACAATATTGATTCTACTTATTCATGAGCATTGGATATTTTTCTATTTATGTCATCCATCAAACTTCGAGGAGTGTCCCTTCTATGCTAATTTTGCAGAGTATTTTATTATAAAGGGATGCTAGATTTTGTCAAATGGTTTTTCTGCATCTATTGAGATGATCACACGATTTTAGTTTTAAATTCTGTATATGTGATGTATTACATTTATTGACTTGTGTATGTTAAACCATCCCTATGTCCCTGGTATAAAACCTACTTCACTGTGATTTATTATTTTTTGATACACTGTTAGATTGAGTTAGCTAGTATTATGTTGAGGATTTTTTGCATCTATGTTCATCAGGGATATTGATCTATAGTTTTCTCTTTTTTTGCTATGTCCTTTCCTGATTTTGATATTAGAATTATTCTAATTTCATAGAATGATTTAGAGAGGATGCTCTCTTTCACTATCTTTTGGAATAGTTTCAGTAGGATTGGTACCACCAAATCTTCTTTGAATGTCTGATAGAATTCAGCTGTGAATGGTCCTGGACTTTTTTGTTGGCATTTTAAAAAATTACTGTTTCAATCTCACTACTTGTTATTGGTCTGTTCAGAGTTTTTCTTTTTAATGAAATTATGAGTTCACTGTCCCCGATGGAGTTGGAATGGCAGAGATCTCTTCAAGCTTAACTCTTTCTCTCATGGTGTAGACTTTAATTTTTTCCTGGTGTTTTATTCACTGAGTTGATGATTCAGGCTTCAGGCCAATAAGGGAGGTATCCCTGGGTAGGCACTGTTTGTGGCTAAGGCAGGTGGGTAGATGTAACACTCAATGGTGGGCTGAGGTCCCAGCCTTGATGAGGGTGGCTGGGGAGCTTTCAATTAGATGTGCTGAGGTTGTATCAGAGTGAACAGTGGGAACTACATTAGCTCCCCTGCCAGATCAGCAGGAAAGCGATTTACTTCATAGACTCACTCTTGGCCTAGTGTTTCAGCTATTCAGATCAGACAGGCACCTCTTTTCATCTATCAGAAAGTTGATGTTCCAAGTAGGGGGAAATTGTGACTCTGCCCCTTGTGCAGGCCTGAATCTGGGGGGCACTTCTCCTGTGGAGCTGTACTCACCCTGGATTGTTCCAGAGAGACTGTCTATAGGTGAATCCATGCTGCATTCCTGTGGGAGAAGCCCCAGCTATGTCTACGGTGGACTGCCAGGGGTATACAAGGACCCCTTTTCCAAGGCCCTTTATGGTTACAGGGGCTGTCTGCCTGTTGGGCTATAGGTGTAGACTTTCCCTACTGCACCCAACACTGCAATTGTGTCTCTGCTGTGAGAAACTACCCACCAGCAGAAAGATCTGGAACTTAAATCCTGTTGTTGAGATTCTTTCTTCCCACAGGGTCATCTCTTGGTGTCGTGCTCCCCCCTTTCTCTAGGGATGAGGCTTCCTGAGAGCTGAACTGCAGTGAATGTTACTGCTCTTCTGGGTCTAGCCACCCAGAGGGGCTACCAGGCTTCAGGCTGGCGCTAGGGAATGTCTGCAAAGAGTCCAGTGACACGACCAGTCTTCAGGTCTCCCAGTTGTGGATACCAGCACCTGCTCTGGTGGAGGTGGCAGGGGAGTGACATAGACTCTGTGAGAATCCTTGGGTTGTGGATAGGTTTAGTGTGCTGGCTTCCTCAAATGTTGGTTATGCTAGCAGTGAAGTTGTCATGTGGTCCAACTCAGGACCTCTAGTTAGCCAAAGTGTTGCAGGTGGTGGTATTAACTGTTGTTTACTCCTTCCTAGGAGCAGTGCTATTCTGTCCTGAGTTGCTGTGATGGACTGAGTTGGTTGGCCTCCAGCTAGGAAGTGGTACTTTCAAGAGAGCCCCACCTGTGGTATTAACAGTGGGATTTGAGCTTGCCCTACTTGGTGAGGGCAAGTATACTGGTTTCTTAAGCAATGGGCAGGGCCATAAAGCCCTCAAGAGTTTATATCTTGTGTTCTGCTACCAGAGTGGATAGAAAAATACCATTAGGTGGAGGCAGAGTTTGGTGGGCCTGAGCTCAGATTCTTCTAGGGGAGGGCTTGCTGGGGCCACTGTGGGTGATGGGAGGGTGGTTCTTAGGCCAATGAGGTTATGTTCCAGAGGCTTGTATGGTTGGCTCTGCTTAGCAGTATTGTTCACCAGGAAAGTGGGGGATAGCCAGTAGCAAAAGGCCTCCTCCAGTTCCCACACAGTTGGCAAGGCCAGTCTCACTCCCACAGTGTCCCGATAACAGCACAGAGTTTAGGTTCAGGCAGTCTGCACGCAGAATTCAGAATTACCTCAGGCCATAAGCTTCCCCACTGAGAAAGCAAGCCACACCCCTCCCCATCTACTCACAATGGCAAGGGCTCCTGCACTCATATCTTCAGCAGTTCCCATTTGCTCCCAAGATTCTGCTCAAGAAAGTTTGTGCTAAGTAGAAATTATCACAATATCCAGTTAGAAGCTTCTTTTGCCCTTGACCCCTCCCTAATTCCGCTGGCTGCCTTCCCTGAGGGCTTCTGTGAGAAACAGTCAGGGATGGCTTCCCAGGGCTCCAGCTGGAGACTGGGAGCGCCTACAAGACTCTTACCATGGCTGTTTCCACTTTTATGTTTCACACAGCTCCCTAAATTCATTCCGGCTCCAGGTGAGGTGAAGTCCTTCTCTTGTGATCTGGATTTTTAGATTCCCCAGTGGGGATGTATGTTGGGAGGCAGGCTTTTCCCCTCTTACACTTTGGGAACTCACAGATTTTGCCTATCTCAAGAAACAGGCATTTTGCAGTGGTGTGCCATTTCTTTCAAAAGATCCGTGACTTCTTTCAGTTTTCTTAGTATATTCCTTTGCTGATTCTTGGAACAAAAGTTCACAGTGTGAATCTTCACACATTGTTTTGTCTGTTCAAGTGGGACATGAACGTTAACTCTGCCTCCTATCTGCCTCTTCGTCTCCTACTCAAGAATTTGTTTAACATTTTTAAAAGGCCACATTTTAAATAGTTATATATTATGTATGGAATACCCTTGATATACATATCTATAGAATATCCTCATTTGGCACAGCTTAAAATGTCTACTATTTGGCCCTTTAACAAAAAGTTTACTCACACATGATATAAAGTTCTATTTTAAGAGAAAGAAATGAAGTACTAAGTAAACTCAAAGGGGAAGGAAGTAATTAATAAAGATGAGAGCAGAAATCTGTGAAATACAAAATAAAGAAACAAAGTCAAAAGTTGGCTCTTTGAAAAGATCAACAGAAGTCATAAACCCCTACTTAATCAAAAATATGATACTGCAAAAATTGCGCATATGAGAAATTTACAAATGGATTGTATTAGAGATCCAACAGACATTAAAATATTAAAAAGAGACTATCATGAACAACTTTATGGGAATAACTTCACAATTAAGATAGAATAAAATTCTTTGTAAAGTGCAGCTTACTATAATTGAGAGAAGATGGGATAGAAAAACTGAATGGTTCTATATTTGTTAAAACCTTGGAATTGGATACTAGAGGAAGCACACACACATACACACACACTCACACAAAGAAAACTCTAGGGTCAGATGGTTTCATTGGTGAATTCTTTGAAAGATATCTCTAGTTTATATCTGTAGCTACATCCCTCTGTCATTCTTCTGCTACAACCTCATTTCATGTATAGGGCTTCTCTTAGAGACTTGTTGTCTACACACTTGACATTTCTGTTTTGTACCCTGAAAAGAACCCCAATTATGACTCTCTCTCTCTTCTTGTTCCACTCTCTTAGGTTCTCTCTTCCAGCAACAACACAGTGAAGCCTTTCTACTTTTCTATGTTATATGTCCTACTCTCCTTGGTCCCAGGATGGCATGCATCCTGCTGTCTTCATGGAGACCCACATGGTGCTGATGAAACCTGAAGGGAAACAGGTTTGCACATAGGGTAGATTAAAAAAAAGTGACCTCCATCAAAGTGATTGTCTTTATACTTAGCTTTATTCTGTGGTTAGTAGTTAGATTGTTGAGGTGAAAGGCCAACAGGGGTTAGTAGGCCACATAAATGTGTGAATCAAGTTTGATATAAGTATATCAGACAATGATGGAGCTTCTCATAGCTTGAGAATATATTCTCATGTAAGGCCATTTAATGTTTTCTTTCTTTCCTTTTTTTTTTTTTTAAGCACTGCATACTTTTACTAAGGCTGTTTGGCTGTCAGTTTTGCTACTGGATTAGTCACGTTATCTAAATTTTTGTCATTCAGAATTGTTCTATTTTATTTATTTAGTTTGGTGACATCAGCAAGATGGTGGAATGTGACTTCCCAGTAATCAGCTCCTCACAGAACATCAATACAGACGACTATCCACACTCAAAAATGCCTTCATAAGAGCTAAGAAACCCAGATGAGAGATATAGCACCTGGGTATAGTACAGAAATAAGAAAGATGTAAAGAAGAGGGTAAAAAGGACAGTTTTATGTGTTCTGTATCACTCCTCCTCAAAACCCAAGTAGGACAGCATGGACAAAGATACTCCTATGTTGGAGAAAAAGAGGAAAGTGGGCATCAGACTTTGCCATGGACCCCAGAACCAGTCTGGCCCCAGTGCAACTTGGTGCCAGGCCTCCAGGCCCACATCAGAGGCCCTAGGCCCTAAGGCTCAACCCCTCAGATGTGGGTTCTAGGCCCAACCAAGTTTACAGACAAGTTCCAGGCATCCGGTCAGCACCCTTGAACCCAGCTTTCTGGCCCACTCTAGTGGCAGGCCAGCCCCAGTGACCCCAGGCTCCAGACTAGCCAGAGCCAGGACAAGAGCCCAGAAATAAATGCACACATTTATAGTCGATTGATCTTTGACAAAGGTGGCAAGAACACACAATGGAGAAGAAGAGTTTCTTCAATAAACCATGTTGGGAAAATTGAATATCCACATACAAAGAGTGAAATTGAACCCTCATCTCAAAGTATATAAAAAATCAACTCAAAATGCATTAAATACTTAAATATAAGGTCTGAAACTATAAAACAACTGGAAGACAACATAGGGCAGAGCCTCTTGGCATTGGCTTGGGCAATGAAGTTTTTGATATGACCGCAAAAGTAGAGGCAACAAAAAGCAAAATACACAAATGGGATGGCACACAAACTCAAAAGCTTCTGCACAGAAAGGGAAACAATCAATAGGGTAAAGAGACAACCTACAGAAGAAAATATTTGTATACCTAATACCTGAAAAGGGATTGGTTAATAGTCAATATCTATAAGGAACTCAAGCAACTTAATAAAAAACAAATAACCTGATTTTAAAATGAGCAAAAGACTTAAATAGACATTTCTCAAAAGAAGACATACAGAGAGCCAACCGGATATATACAAAAATTGTCAACATCATTAATCTTCATAGAAATGCAAACTAAAGCTGCAATGAGATATTACATGACACTTGTTAGAAAAGATTTTTTCAAAAAGATAAAAGATAAGTGTTGGAGAGGGTGTGAAAAAAACAGAACTTTTGTACACTGTTGGTTGGGTTGTAAACAAGTACAGTCATTACAGAAAACAGTTTGAAGATTTCTCAAAAAATTAAAAATAGAACTACTGTATGATCCAGCAATTCTAATTCTGGTTATATATTCAAAGGAAATCATATAAGTATGTTGAAGAGATACCCACATTCCTATGTTTATTACAAGCATTGTTCATAAGAGCCAAGATATGGAAGCAACCTGAGTGCTCATGGATGGATGAATAGATGAAGAAAATGTGGTATATGTAAACAATGCAATACTATTTAGCCTTAAAAATAAGAAGAAAATCCTATAATTTGCAACAGCATGGATAAACCTGGAAAACATTATGTCAAGTGAAATAAACCAGATTATAAAGAAATGCCTAATTTCATATGTGGAATCCAAAGAAGTTGAATTCACAAAAGGAGAGAATAAAATGGTGGTTCCCAGGTGCTGGGGGTGAGTGGGAAATGGGGAGATGTTGGTCATAGGGTACAAAGTTTCTGTTAGGATTAATAAGTTCTGGAGGTCTGTTGTACAACATGATGACATATAGTTAATAATAACTAATACTTGAAAATTTCTGGAAAAGCAGATCTTAAATGTTCTCACCTCAAAAATAACAAGTGTGTGAGGTGATGGATATGTTAATTAGATTTATTTAATAATTTCACAATGTATCAAAACTTCAGATTGTACATGATAAATATATACAACTTTTATTTGGCAATTATACCTTAATAAAGCTGAGTAAAAAAATACAAATTTCTAAATGTGTTAATTTCCAAGAAGGGATAAAGACTCCCTGAGTCTAAGTCAGATAAAACTTCCCAAAGCAAATAAAAACAACAAATGTGCAAAGTTAAAGAATGAGTCAAGAGATACATATAATAACAGAAAGATTATTAAAGTATATATTAACAACATTTCTTTAAGTTGTGACAGGTAACAAAACCTGGGACCACAAGATGTACTATTTCTTATTCCTAATGGCAACTTTCCTTGAATTAGGCAAGGCCATGTTTATTAATTTATTGTCTCTATTTCGCTTTCGTATGAAAAGGATTTAGATTGGCTAAAATTAAACAACTAAGGTAAGATAAAATAATTTTAGGAATAGACGAGACTTAAGGCTTGGAAAAAATATTGAAAAGGAAGTTAATACTTTCTAGAAGGTAGCTGAGAGGATGTATATATTTCAATTTGGTAGAGGTAGAAATAGAAAGAACAGAGTAAGTCCTCACAAAAAAAGAAACTGAGCTGAGGCTTTAATCATCACATTTAATTGCTATATTATATATCATCTGCATAAATTCTCCTCAAGTTATAAATTAGAATCTTTTTTATTTGATAAAAATTGTATTAGAGAGATGACATTATTTGATCATAACCATACATCTAATTGGTGAAAGATCTAATTTAAAGGGGTCTAGTTGAATCAAAGGCACAAATTCTTTCCATTACACCTTTTCCATTAGGTAGATAAAGAGGCAGATGCAATTAATCAGATACAGAATTTTACAGCTATTTTATTACTAAAAAAGGACTACGATTTAAATTCCTGAGGATGAGATATTAACGAATCATGGGCTCTTTCACTGTGCAAAGCTCTCAAATATAATGTGTTAATATTATAAATAAGAGCTCTAAAGTTGTTTGTTTTCATTTCTAGCAGTAACTTTCAGAGAGTTTATATTTCTAGAAATTGTATATGCCTATAAATCTTATATTCCATGACCACATCTAGTCAGGAGAGAGATACTGTATCAAAGCTAATTGTTATATCCCTTACAGACATTAATAGCATTGCAGCCTAATGGCACTAAAGATGAGAATTTTGAGATCTTATAGCTGCAGGATATCAGAAATGATGTATGATACATCAGTCTTATAATACATTTTATTTTTAATTTAGAGTTTAAAAAATAAAAAAATAAGCAAGAGTTCTGGCGTTTGAAGGCAACTAGCTTCTTATCCATTATTAATTCACATAAGAAAAATAGCTATGATGGCAAAGGCCAGATAGTTATACACAGGCTATAAATATAGATGAATAATTCATTTCTCTATTAATTTTGAATTTATAGCCAAACTGGTTGAACTCTATTTTTTCTTTTCCTAGAAGGGCATACACCAGACAAAATACTGCACTGTCAACAGTCAAGAAAGACATAAACTACTCAGTACGCAAAATGAGATTTACTATATGCATATTTATCTTATTTGAATGACCCTCTGTGTTCTCCTTATGGCTTACTAGAAGGTTTTGGAAAATTATGTCTTTTCAAAATATAACATTAAATATGTCAAAGTATTTGCCTCTGCATTAGGCAGCATGAGATTTGAGAGCTACCTGAAGGCTCATGAACCCCCAAATATTGTCCTCCTTAACAAGTTATTGAGTCCTTAATTTAGCGTAATGTCTAATGAAATTCCTTATTACCATTCAAATGATTTTCCTGTAATTCTTAATCTCTCAGTCTAAGTCAGACAATAAAACTATTCATCGAAAGTTGGAGTGTATTCCACGAGGTCCTTGACTGTCTTTTCTGAGGTTATTTAATTTTGAGACTTTGGAAGAAGCTCATTCCAATGATAGGGTTATTCATACAATAAATATTTACTGAATAGTTTCTGTAATCTAAAATGAAGAGGCCAATCTATTTGGTGTTCTCCCTCTTGCTCACTGAGGGTATGTGTGTACCAAACATAGACATGAGTAAGTACAGTATCCACACTCAGCTTGCCTGAGGCAAATGATACATCACCTATGAAGAACTGCATAATGTTAAACAAACAAACAAACAAACAAAATCAGGTTACTTCTTAGCTGCACAGGTGAATGGAAGTCTGCAGTGCCATCCTCTGGGGTTGGCCCAGCCCAGAATTGGCACATTGAAGTCATTGGGTTATTAACATCCAATATGGCTTAGCATATATACTGACCACTATTGTAAATGCTTGCTTCAGCTTTGAAGTATGATTGTCTATTACAGAAATCCAACTCACAATTCAAACATTTAAGGAATTATTATTATTATTATTAATTATTTACTATTGGGATACCCAAATTTCATCCAATCAAATAACAGAGCCCTCTTTACACCAAGGCAACACAGTCCTTGGCCACTCAACATTGGATCTGAGGAGTACTCTATGCCCCTTATTAATAGAAAATGCATATGTTACTAGTGAGCTGTGTGGTGGACTCCGTGTCTAATGCTATTCATGCTCTGTACAGAGCCATCTTCTACACAAATATATCAGTGTCCTTCCAACAGTAGGAAAGGGAAGGTAACTGGAGTAATACAACTCCAGTTCCTTCCCACACTGTTCCTTTTTTTTTTTTTTTTACTCTCTGCTGTTACTCTTTGGAATGGTTGGGGAGATTGGATTTCACATGCCAAGTGGTGGTCATTGCTAGGTCATTGGTTGGCATTGGTGGCCATAACCGTTACTTCCTCTCTGTTCCATGAACTACTGGGCCTAGTCTAATGGCACTGTGTTGGTTGTCCTCACCCTAGTTAGGAAGCAAATAAGTATTTTTTGACTGCTATATGAGGTGTGGTGATGATGGACATCTGATCGTTCTTCACCTGGTGAAAGAACTCCTGAAACCACAAGATGCTGGGTTTGTACAGAAGATAGTATGGAATTATCATTAAGGCTGCCACAATTTCTTTGAGGTATCTCACTAACTTACCCTCCCTCTGTAACCGGTTATTCTTCTAGATGCAGCAATAGGAGGGCTGGTAGCCATTCCAACATATAACAATTTGCTTGACAATTCCCAGTCTTTTGGCACCACCCAGTACCGGCTGATGAAGTGGTCTACTGACTTGAGGTCAAGCTGGTTTAGCAGGACATTTCTTCTTCTTGCCAATTAAAAAGTTTATTTGATTACTGGAGGAAACTTAGAAACAATGCTGTAGTCTAGTTAAATTTTTGTCTACTACATCACTGCAGCTGCAAATGTGTGTCTTGTTCAGTTTCATGACTCCTGTGCCCACCAATGGGTAAGATAGCCACCATCTGGTATACCTTGGAACAATCCCGGTTATTTTCCTTTTCCAGGCTGGTCAGTATGTCCCATTTTCCTGTTCTTCCTATGTGGACAACTGGTCTTTTCCTTTCTGCTTTATCTCAATATGTTCTATATCTAGGACATATTCACCTTGTATTTGAGGTTTTTCAAGATTCTCCTCTAGATCCTTACAGGCACTCCTTGGCATGGATGCAAGGAAGCACACTTGCCTCGTTGAGGGGGAAGCATAGTAGTAGACATGGTATTATACAACTTGGCTTGTATCTCATTAACATTTAGGATGAGGAAGAGGTGTTAACTAAACTGACAGCAAAGATATAGAATGTGTCACCCACATTAGGTCAAATAGCCAGTGAACCTACCCAGGATGAAGAGTTTCAGCTAATTAATCCAGATTATTCTTAGCCTAGTAGGGTCACGTAAGTTTGAGACTACAGAATTATTCTCAACTGTCTGTTGGCTGGCCAAGAAGGCATGGGTGCCATGGCGGTATGATATAGGCCCACATATGGTAGAATAATCAATTTCTCATATAAGAGAGCAGGGAGAATGGTTTTCAGTATTTCAGCACTCTGGGACCTATTCTCTTGGCTGGGTCATGGCTTTCTCAATCTCTATCTTAGGAGAAGACTTCTAGTACAACTTATGGACTCTTCTGTTTTTTAGTATCTCCACATGATTGTCACAAGTAGCCCTAGTGCCTTTATGGTTTGAAATTGCAGAGGTTGTTAACAATGGTTGTATAAAGCAATAGGGTATCTTTTAGAACGAATATTGACTGAGAGGTGAGGAACACATTTTGAGACTTACCTTTTGCAGACTGCTACCTGAAAAAGAAGGGTAAATTTGGGAATTAAACTCATCAGACATACCTTTTGTATAGCTTAGTGTTCAATTAATTGTTTTGATAGAACACTGAGGTGGCAGAATAGAACTAGAGGTGGACAGAGTTTAACCATATCATTTAGTTAAAAACAGAAATTTTGGACTCATGCTTCTGGCCATGTAGAAGTATGTTTTTCCAACCTTGCAGTGTGTAAGTGCAACAGCCCAGGAGAGTCATGTCTGGATGCACTAGATTTTTGTCCTCTCTGCTCTAGAGTGCAACAGACTATCTTCAAAACAAATACTTAATACTCCTGAATCCATCAGTTTACCCCAATGAAGACTTTAGACACCTGCTGAACAGGTGACACTTCTGGAAAACACAGTCTTAATTATGGGCAACTATATTTATTTTGAGATAAACAATAATTTATGAAGAGCAATTAGAACACTTTTTGAAAGAAGTAGGAACATAGTTTTATAATTGAAATCTAGTTGATTCATTTACCATAACTCTTTAAGAAGAATTGTTTCTTTATAATTTTTTAAATAATTCTTATTCCTGTCTAATGAACATATGAATAATCCCCCAAAAGAATTCCAGGAAACTGATGCAGTTGAGGTACAGAACAATGAGCAATTAAGGTGGAAGTCTGTTTACCTTTGTATTGTTAAAAAGGATAAGAATTGCCTTTTTGAGAAAACATTTAATTGATGTTAATTTAGTCTGTTTTTTTAAAAAAAATTCTTGCAAATGGCTCACAATAGAAAAACCTAACTTTCATAAACTCCATCCAAAAATTTCCCTTGCTACCTGTGATTCTGCAAAAAAAATGAAGTGAGGAAATAGCAAAAGGAACCCATTCTATGAAAAAAAAGCCCAGTTTCATTCAGATGGGTGCTAACAGAAGAACACAGAGAAGCAAATAATTCACCAGTAAAAGTAGGATTCCAAGTGAAAAAGGCATCAAGTGTCCACCCCGAACCTATTATTTAAATTTCTCACTAATTCACACAAACATTGATGAAACATGATAGAGTTGATATTTGTAATCATTTTAAAACTGTTTTCAATCAATTTTTTAAATCCCACTGAATGCATAATAGAAAAAAATAGGAATGGAACATAAACTATCAATTCAAGAAGAAATATAAATGACAAAAATTATTAGGAAAATGCTCAATATCATACATATACAATGTAATAAACAATAAAACAAGAATGAAGTATAATGCTTTCATGAAATTGGCAAATAGGCAAAAAACATATCAGTTGTGGGAGAGAGAATAATGACAGGTATATTCATCCACAGCAAGTGCCATATAAACTAGAAAAACCTTTTATATGCTAATAATATAAAATTCTTAATGTTTAAGATTATCTTAGAAATTTGACTAAGTAATTTCACTTTTCTAAATTTATTCCACTAAGAAATGTGGTCAAGTATTCAATTAAAAGATATATAACAGTATGATTATAATATTGGAAATCATAAACCAATATTAAAAAAGGAAGTTGATAGATATCAACATGGAATTAATCCTTCTTGTAAAATTGTGGTTTTCAAAAGAAAGGTTGTGACTTATAAAAATGCTTATGCCACATTAAATATGTGACATAGATTATAACATCGTATACATCACATTATTGCAATTTTCTGAAAAATGTAGATGTGTCAGAAAGGAAATTGAAAATATGAAACGTAGGTTTAAGGGTTGGGATTATGTCTATATTCTGTATCTGTTATTTTCATATTTTAAAGATTATAATGAGCATATGTTAGTTTCATAATAAGAAATAAAATGAGAAAAAAATAAGTAAAAACAGGTATTTGATATTAGCTGAAACTACTTCCCGATCTCATGGTTTCTTTGGGTCTTGTGGGTGGGTTTCAGGCAGGGAGATGAGCTTTTATGAAGGAAAGGGGGCATGAACCTAGAAAGAGGAAGAAATGGATGTTTCCACATCTGGTTTGGGATTAAGAGAGGAGCAGATAAAATTGAGTTTCAGTTTATATCTAGTAAGGGTGTCTGGTTACTCAGATCAGTACTAAATGACTTTAAGAATTATGTAAAATTTCTTAGACTCCTTACAGTTCCAATTATTTCCCTCTATAAATTTTCCATGGTTTTCATCTTTAAAGTGAGCAAAGTTTATACTTATCTTTTTGGTGTTTTTGAAGACAGGAGTATTCAAAGGACACGAAGCTGAATCTTTGAGATAGAAAAAATTAATCCTGAATTTTACTTCCTTCTCTCATTCAAGGCTATGAAGTTTTGTGCAGCAGAGAGTAATGTGTATACATAGCTGCTTCTGTGTAAAAGTCTTGGTGCTCTTTCAGGAGTTTTTCTCCTGTACCTATGCTTTAGAAGTATCTTAAATTTAACAAGATATGTGTAATCTTATCAGCATGAGCACCTGTCTGAGGGGTTCTTTGGCCACAATACATTGGCACAACAAGTAGGGGTTGAATATTTATGATCCACTTGCTTGTATATTTCTGGGAATAGGATTCCAAAAGCACAGGGACAGAATTGGTGGCAGCTGTTTTAAATTTCAAACGAAGAGAGAACCAAGTGTGTGGGGACCTAGTCTGAGTGTGGGGAAAAGACTGGGATTTAGCAAAGAGGAGACATTTGTAGTTCCTTATACTGTGCTCTCAGCAGATCAAGATTTTGTGGGTCTTGCACCTTATAAAATTTGGAGACCCTCTTTAAATAAAATAATATAAATTATGAATACAAAATTAGATAAGAAAGTTGCTATTTATTTTGAAAAAGCAAAGAAATCACAATAATTGACAAATTTTCAAAGACTGACGATAAATCCATCACAAAATAAAAAACATTTTTATTAACTACTTTTACACCTTAAAAATGCCTTTTTTTGGTAATACTTTTGTCTGTTTTCTCTTTGAACTCAAAGTTTTATAACACTATTTAGTCTGGGGAAAACAGACTCATCTATCATAATTGTTCAAAAACTTCTTTCTTATTAATAAAATTTAGAAAAATTTTAGTTTCAAAACTCATCATTGGCAATGCTGTAAATGTTTTAAGACTGTTGTCAAAGTTTGGAAAACTTTTATTGAATTTCTTTCCTATATAAACTGTTATGATTTACTAATTGGTTCCTGTATTACTACAGATTTTTGTGTTACAAATATGGGGATTTTAATAAATTGTACTTTGCATTTTTCCATCAATAAAGGAAAACTGGAAAGTGGGTTCATAATTATGTAAGCTGAATTACCAAGTTTGTTCACAATAAGAGAGAACTTCTGTTAGAACTAGGCTTTGCTGAGAACCAGTCTTCTATTTAAAATCTTACATAAATGATGGCTAGTAGAGTTTTCTTCAGACTAAATTTGGGCTGCACACATTTCAATCCATTTTTCTCCTCTATTCTAATGTACTTCTGGTGCTGGGTATCACAGGCTGTATTCACATCGTAATATCATTCTAGACCTGGATCTTTATGACACAACCTGGGTGAATTAGCACAGCAAGCAGAAAGAATATTCCTGGATTCCATTTCTATACCAGATAGCAATACTAACCCAAATTAAATATGTGTCTACCAAACATATTCTGGCTATTTCAGGGGAAGAAAAGGTGTAATAGAAATGATGCTAGGAATAGAATTTTTACCTGTAGCTAGACTATTCTAACTCTTTCAAACTTTATGAAAAACATATGACCATGTTAACCCAATGTTATGAAAAACATATGACCATGTTAACCTTCTAACGGTCTTGGAAGGGGGTACTTCAATTGAGGGGATATGATCGCTAGGCTTCATTAGCTTTCCACTAAATAGACTCCTGTATCCTGTAATCACATTTTAGGTAAAGGAAACTTAAGGAAGCTCAATGCCCTATACCTTGGATAAAGAGTACAGCCAGAACAAAGGCATGCCTGTAGTTTTCAAATAAGAATCCAAAATAACTGTGAAGGGCGTCAGATATTAAAAAGCCAGTTAGTATGATGGCAGTGATAATGAAAACTCTTAATGAAGTACACAAAATGGAAATCTACATGTCTTTTCTCAGAAATATAGTTACACCAGAAATAGTTAAATATTAAAAAAATCAATTTAGTTCATTTATGACTTCATTCATTTTCAGCACAGTCCCTTTTCAAAAACATAAAGCCATTCAAGAAATGATTTACACTATTATTAAATAATGTAAGTATCAGCCTAAGCTTTATATGACCAGCTTTCAGACTCTTTTTTTAATAAGGAAGTTTAATGTATGCTTCTTAATTCCTTCCTAAGTAACTTTTAAAATAGTTTCAGCTAATTGTTTAATAAGATATCTTAAACGCTTCTCAAGGATACTGTATTTTCTGTAGTTTCATTATATTCATGTATAACTTACTACTAAAAATATTTCTAGTTCCAAAGCTACTGTATACTTATGAGGTTAAATTTTTGTCTGGAATTGGTGAAAAAAAGAATCAATGCATTAGAGGTTAGAAAGGAACTTGTAAAGTTCATTACCTATACGATTCTGCTTTTGATCACATTCACATGATGCCAGATAAAATCCACATTAATTTTAACCACCTGAGAAGAGGACTCCACTTTTTTTTCTTACTCCCTATACTGTCTTTTATTATGTTCCTCCTACGTGCCATTTACTGTGGTTATCAAAAATGAACAGAACTCTGTTAGTTTATTAAGTCATTGTGAGCTGGACAATCCTACAATCCTTTATTCACTTTGGCATTCCTGGAGCCTAGCACAGGGTCTTATAATCAGATACCCATTACATGTGTTGTTGGAGTAATGAAGCTCATTCCTATTAGAAGGTGGTTTCAAATTTCCTCTTGAAAGAGAGACTGTCTTTGTTTAATAAAATAAGTTAAAGCACAACTGTGACAGTGTGTGGTAGTTCTAAGGAGAGAGCCAGAAGGAAGCCAGGAAGCTGCACAGAACGCAGTGCTCTGTGTAAAAAGAGAACAAACATTTTGGGGGTGGAGGGGGCTTAAATTGGGGAGAAGAAATAATTAAATCAAGGAAGAGAGGACACAACAATAAGACAGAAGGTTGGACTTGACTGAAGAGATCACTAGTCGGATTTCCATGGAGGTAGTGGGAAAGGTCTAGGGTCTCCGAAGAATTAGTTATATAAAACATTCATGTGTCAAAATTTGAAGTAAAGCCATTTAACATTCCCCTATATCAATTGTTTTGCAAAGTGGCTGCATATAGACTTGAAACAGTGCGGTTTGAGGAGTAATGGTGTAAGATCATTGTTCAGTGTTACAAATGGGCAGCACGAATGGGAGGGAAAGGAAGAAAAGAGATGGAGAATTCAGTGAAAAGGGAAAATCAGAAGAGAAGTTACTAAGACAAACAAATTCTTCCCCCACTTGAAAAATCCTTAGCAGGAGATGTTGACTTTCCTTTTTCATGTAGGGTAGAACCAGTTTTATTTAAGTTGACAAGGACAAGTTGATTCCAACAAACTGGAGGACTTGAAGATACTGCATGTTTTGAAATAGGGGTTAGAAATGATTTGAATTAATTGACCTGGGGATATTGTCTCTCCCTTGAAAGCACTTGAAGACTGATGATTGAAGATGCTCATGGGCAGTTTGATAAATTCTGCAATAGAAGTATGATCAACATGCAATGCAAACACAGACAGAAAGAGTGCTGTTATACTTTACCAACTGAGGAGGAATATCAGGAGGATGACACAGAAGTAATACATGAGTGAGGGTGTAGAAGGATAATGCAGAATTTCTCAGGAAGAAAAATGGGGAAGGGCATTTTGGGAATAGGAAATAGACAGTGCAAATTCATGGAAATATAAACGAGCAAGTTGTATTAGGGAATTGAAAGCAGAGAAAAGACTGGAGGACAACAAGTAAGAAGACAAAGTCTTTGGGGAAATGACTAACTATAATTGTCTGCACTCAACTGGAAAGGTGAAATTCCTATTCTTTTCATATCTTGTTTGTTTTCTTTTACTGAAAAGGCATTAGATAAATCTTTTGCAATATATTTTGTGATCTGACCCAATTTGGATGTTTCTTTTCAAGGCTTTGCCTGTTTTATATCAATATTTCATTCACAAAAAGACAAAATGACAGATTATTTTCACCTGTCCATCCATTCCTGGAGCTACAGGCAGATCTATATTCCACTTTCTGCTCTAACAAATGAAATAAAGATACAGTGAAACAGCATATGTGAAGAATGTTACAGAAAATCTATAATTCTGATAAAACCTCTAGGTTTAGCAAAAATCAGCCAAATGAGAGTTTTCATTTTGTTGTTATTTTTTTCTGGAAAATCTAAATTATTTATTGTAACACTAGGACAAACTTCAAACAAAGTGAATAAAACAGTGTAGGAAATTTTATTGAATTTTGTCTAGCTAGCCACGTTTAAAATATGTTTTATGTTCCTCTACCAAGTGATTCTGAGACACACTGGAATGTACACACTCAACACATTTTTGGAAATAGTGAATCACAGATTTTATCTGTGGGTTCAAAATCAAATTGATTCTTAAAGACTCATCTCCACTACAACCTCTTCTGTAAAGGGCTTTCTGGTTCTATTCTACTTCATGTGGTTCTGTGTGACTGACCAGAAACAGCTTTAATTGACAGGACAGAGATTCTAGGAATTTTTGTTAGAAGCTGAAAAGCCTTCTAGGGGATGACCCATTCTAAGGTAAGAGAGCATGAAGGTACAGAAATTTGGTCTGAGTCATTGGACCAGTATTGGATGAGAGAAAACAGAATGCATAATTATCCATTTACATGGATTTGTAAGTGAAACATAGGGTGAGAAAGATTAAAACACCTGAGGGAGCTAGAGCAGAGGAGGAGGAATATGAGAGTGCATTTTTTAACAGTGTCTATACTAAGCCTTCAATAATAATAATAATAATAAACCCACAATTCAAATATTATTGTGTCCTATATCCAGTAACAAGGGGCTCAGAGCTAATGCTAATAGACAGTAATGCCTCTTCCTGCCATCATTAGAAACGTGGAACCCTTTTCACACTTTTCTTTCTTTGTCTCCCTCCTTCCATCCTTTTCTCCTTCCATTGTTTTCTCTCTCTTCCTTCCTTCCTTTCCTTCCTTCCTTCCTCCCTTCCTTCCTTCCCTCCTTCCCTCCCTCCCTCCCTCCTTCTCCCCTCCCTTCCTCTATTCTTTCTTCTTGTGTTAATTTCTTTAGTGTTGCTATAAAGGAATACCTGAGGCTGGGTAATTTACAAAGAAAAGAGGTTTATTTGTCTTACGGTTTTGCAAGCTATACAAGAAGCATGGCACCAGCATCCACTTCTGGTGAAAGCCTCAGGCTTCTTCCACTCATGGTAGAAGGCAAAGGGGAGTAGGTGCATGCAGAGATCACATGGCAAGAGAGAGAGCAAGGGAAGCAGTGCCAGGCTCTTTTTAATTACCAGCACTCAGAGGAACTCTCCTGGTAATGAAAGTTCCTCCTCTCAGGGAGGGCATTAATCTATTCATGAGGGATTCATTCCTATGACCCAAAAGCCTCCCATTGGGCCCCACCTCCAACATTGAGGATCAAGTTTCAACTTGAGGTTTCCTGGGACAAACGTCCAACTATAGCATCTTCCTCTCTCTCTCTTTCTCTTTCATGATGAAAATAACAGAAACTGTATTTGAATTAGCTTGGAAAATCAGAGGAATTTATGGGAAAAATACTAATTTATCTCAGTGAAAGGTTAAGTGATTGTAGGGAAGGGCAATTGAAGCTAGACATTAGATATACTTCTTATTAAGGAAGTGAATGATGCCAGGGATCTTTCTAGATCTCTTCTGTCTTCTCTTTCTCTGTTCTGACTTAATTCTCTCATGATGCAAATTGGAAGTCTTCCACATGGCAAACAATATGGTTTTAAAAAATCTCCAGGGCCTCATCAGCTGTTTTTCAGGAAAAACTGACCCTTGCTTAATCTAGGGTCAAGTTATAGTAGCTTGCATAGCTTGCATGGATTTGTAAGTGAAACCTAGGGTGAGAAAGATTAAAGCCCAAACTAACCCTAGTAGTGGGTTAGTTTGAGTTAGGTATCCAGCATCAAGCAAATGATGTAGATGGAGGATGGAGAGGTAGGGATGCTTTTAAGAATATCTAACCTTTCAGAACTCATATTTAGTGCTTGGGTCAGACAGAGCATGTCTTTGCAGAAGATAGGCAGTATTCCCAAAAGAAAAAGAAAAGATCAAGGGGAGACATAAGAACTGACATCTACTAAAGCAAGTACATAGCAGGCTGTGCCATCTTTAGCATCAACACAGATATTCTTAACCTCTGTCATTGGCTTAACACAAACACTTAGGACTTTTGTTGGCATTGGCATCAGTGGGAGCCAGCAGACATCAATAGCGGCATTCAGGCTTTTAAAATCATTACTGACAGGAAACATCATCATAGTGAGCTAGAGCAGAAGAGGAGGAAAACAGTACATGCTATTTAGTAAACAAGATGACTGGTGACTCTGAACCACAGGGTAGGTATTTGAGTGTGAATTAAGTTCCTATAGAGCAAATGATGCTGAAGCCAAATAGCTTTGGTAAGATGCCCTTATTTATACTTTAGGTTGCCATGGTCTGGGAAATATGGACTTTGTATGTTTATAAGCTATATAACTGTCCATTTTATCAGATATTGATCCTAGCATTGTGCATGGATGCTCAATAAAAGTATTCCTTTCCTGGTGGTGAATTATGTTATGAATTGCATCTGCCTCAAAATTGTGTATTTCTTATATATTCATCTTCTGTGTATGCCTTTTCAAAGTAATTTATTTAGTTGTAGAGTGAAGTCATGGATTGTGACCATTTAAAACACGAATACATAGCAATAAAGAAATACTGAGTGAAGGAATTAGTCAAGTGATTATGGGTGTCTAACCTGTCATAAAATTATCAAGTGCAAATACATGACCTATGATGCTGGAAGGAGAAATCACTATAGCAGGGAATACAGATGAAATAAGCATTTGGGATTTAAGACGTTTATATCCATGAGTCCATACTCATCATGACCCACTTTGGAAGCCTGGCCACTAGATTGGGCTACCTTGGAAAGGGATATGTCTGGGCAAGGCCAAGCATATGGTCCTCAAGAGGGAACTAGAGTACTAGGCAGTACTTAGCTGAGGGTTAGGAGGAAGGACCAGAGCAGAAGTTTAGTCTTATGAATAAAAACAACAGAAGGAAAAGAAGCAGACAGCTTTGACCTAAAGGGCCAATAGATTCTCAGGGGATATCCACGGGGACATTAAACCTGAATTTCATTGTTAGAGAAGTTATCTCAAAAAGCAATGTGGTAAGTCAGCAACCTTGGCTAGCAAAAGAAATTTTAACTCTCAGTAGGTGTAAGATTTAAGTCACACTGGGCCCGACCAGGAGGGAGGTGGTGAGAATGTGAGAATACTGATCTATTTCTTATATATGTCAGGATTAGCACAGAAACTGCAACAGGTAACAGTTTGCATGCAAGTGGGGTCACCAATAGGTTGAGCTGTAAGGAACTAACCCAGCTGCAGACGAAAACAAGGCAAGATTGACAGACAACCTTTTGAACTGAAAGTAAGTTGTCATTTAATGCTGTACTCTCCTTCTTAAATTTTAAGTGCTTAACTGGAATGAATGAAAATATTGCTCAACAACCACTTAATGTGATTAGATTTCAGAAGATGCACATTATCTAATTCTATTGGGATATGTGCATGCCATTTTAAGAAATGAATTTTGATCTATGACTCTTTTACAGAATGTGGTTCCAGGAGATCAGAGTTTACCGTCCCCTGGAGTAAACAGTTGCTGGTTTGAGCACTTCAGTGTTGTCTTGGAATCATGCAACCAGAAGGACTCGGAAATATGTAGTGCCCTTTGTGGGCAGCTCTCATTGGTATGGTACAAGAGTTGTATTCAATCACTTTGTCAGAACAATGACAGCTGTGAGAAGGAGCCCATAAAGCTATTCATTAAACTCTGAAACAGCTAGCACTTTACTTGTCTGGAGTTATTTACTAGTGGTTGATGATGACACTGTTGAGTGAGGGAGAAACTTATGAGGCTTCTTGACTCTCTTTTTGGTGAGAAGGTCATTTTGAAAAGGAGAATTGTAAGGTATTTAGTGCATCCGAATCTCCAAATATAGCCTTACATTAATACGGTAAAACACCACCAAAAATAGGGAAAAGTGTTTTTTAGAAGGAACGTAGGCTGTGATGATATAAAAATTTGAATTTTCTATCACTCACCATGCAATCAGAAAAGCAGAACTACTAGAATATAAAAATAATTGCAATACTTTGAGAAGAACAGAAGCACATCTTAAACTCTGCTTCTAATTAGATGGAAATCTTTAACTAAAGAATTTAGCATCTTTATAGTCAGTCATCATCTGTAAATACTGAGATTTGGCAAGGTATTTTGGTTTCTTTTTAATGTTTGTGTTCTGTTAAATATGTGATTCTCCATGTATATTAATTTTATCTTTACATGAGGATTTTGAAATCCCTGTAGGTAAGGAAACCTGACCAATTCTTCCTTTAAATCTTCTCCAGAATTTAAAAAATTCAGCAAGACTATCTTAAAAAAGCCTTGAATAGAGTTTTCTAGAAGAAAAATTGGTGGATAACCCAACTCTCAGATAGATTATTATGCCTTAATGTTGTAGTCAATAATATTTGATTAAATATAATGACCTTTAAATATATTCTATACAGCTATATTACAGATGGCTTGGAGAAGCTTGCATCTGTTGCCAGTCTTGAAATCCACGAAAACATTACACATGGAAACTTGAGTTCAAGTCCAATGCAGGTTGAATTCCCATTTTTAAATATATGAAATGTATGACCCTAGCTTCTAAGAGTTTTAATTTAAAAAAATCTATCATATCTTCCAAATTTAGTTTCAGCTAGTAAGAGTAAAATATTGTATACTTCTTTTAGCTGATAGCCATCTGCTACAGAAACATTCAAATGTCAGCTCATCAGAATTTAAAAGGACTTCCTGAACAGAAGTTCACTGAAATTTAAGAAACTTTAATGGAACTTCTGTTGTGAAATGATACTGTCTTGACTTTAGGCTAATCCCCAAAACACATCTACAAATCCATCTCCCAAAATGTCTCCTACAGAGAAAGAGCTGGGCTGGTTTTACAATTTTTATGGCAAAGGTTAAAATAAGTAATTTCCACAACAGCTGTCGACATATAGTCTATCTTTGGAGGCTGCTTTCCCTAGAGAATTTTATTTCTTCAAATGTCATAATTAGAATTTAATCTCCAGTGACTACTCAAGGAAATCTGGCAGCAGGATGCAGTATGGGTCACATTTTAATTATAAATGCATCTTTCACATCTGAAGGGCCAGGAGATTTTGCTAGTCATGTCACGGAAACTCCTATGCACTGTGAATAATTAAGTATGTTTTTCAGTGGATAGCAGTTGTTTCCTTAAAATTCAGCAAGATTTATCAGAGCATGAACAGATTTCTTGTCCCACCAAAATCTGATGGGGTGCAAAGAAGTCGATTTCCAGGCAATTAGAGCAGTGGGTTGTGTTCATTCACACGCTGGCATTGTCTATGACAGATGTGTATCAATAGCAGTGTGTTTTCATGCATTCATTTATTAATTTCCTTTCTTTTATTAAACAAACCTTTATTGAGTATATACTTCCCTGAACTTACAGTTGGGGAAACAAAGTAGAACAACACTGTCTTTTCCATAAGAGAGACATACCTGAATCTGGTCAGAAATGATCATTAAATGAGTGATAAGGAGAGTCACATACATGGTGCTTTGGAAACACCAAGAAAGAAGCAACTAATTCTGCTTGAAAAGATCAGGAATGACATGACAGGGGAGGTGACCACTCAACTGAGCTGTAAAGAATAATGAGCAGGAAGGAATTTGTTATGACAAGGAAGGGGAGGGAATTCCTGACAAAGGGAACTACATTTGTAAAAACAAGGATATTTGAAGGCTCTTGTAGTTGGTGCAGTGAGGATAAAAAGTAGAGTGTTTTTGGAGAAGTAGTACAATATGGGCATACAATACAGGGTCGGGGTTATTTTAATGCCAGCAGAAATGTAAATATTATGGGCAAGAAATTTGTCTTCACAAAACAACATGACACTGATCCTCTCAGTCCTCAGAACAGCCAGACAGGATTTTTGAGTAGCTTTGTCTCTTTATCCCACTTATCTGAGAATATCTATCATATTCCAATTTTTTTTTGTGAAGAAAAAGTGGTATGACCATACAATGAACTACTACTTAGTAACAATGACAAACAAAATGTACTACTGAAAAATTCAAGAAAATGAATGAATTTCAAAAGAATTTTCCTAAGTGAAAGCCAGAAAGAAAAGACTATATAATGTATGATTATATTTATATGAAATTTCAGAAAATTCAAGACTACGGTGATGGAAAGCAGGCTGGTATTGCTAGGGTTCAGGGTTTTGGCAGAGAATATTGACAAAAATGGGGCATGAAGGATTTTTTTTGGATAATGGAAATGTTCTGTATCATGATTGTGGTGCTGGCTATAAGACTATGAGCAATTCTCAGAACTCATCAAATTATTTACTTAAAATTGGTAAATTTTATCATTTATAAATTATAGTTCAATAAGGCTGAAGACAAAGATGAGCCATATCAGAAACTTTGAGTTGGGATTAATTCGCTTTAGAGGTGCCAAGGAAACAATAACCTTGCCAGTAAAAACCTTAAGGATGAGGCTACTGAACTGACTTCCTCAAGTATTTGGACATAAAGAACCACATTAGCTGACACTGAGCAGAATAAGAAATTAAAGTCTATAAGGAGTAATTTTTCCAAGAAAACATAATTTGGGGACTTTAAGAATGTTTGAGTCCAAATTACAAGTACAATAGTAAAATTGAACACCTCTTATCTGTCAGCCATGTCTTTAAATGGTTTACATATATAATTTATTCAGTTCTCATGACAACCTTGCATGTCACATTGTTACCCTCACTTTTCAGGTTAGAAAACTGAGGCACAGGGATATTAATTTACTTGCTCAGTATCATAAACCTAGTAAGTGTAAGAACTGGGATTTGAAGTCAGGTAGTCTGGTTCAGAGCCTATACACTTAAGCACAAAGGCATTATATTTGAATTTGAATTTCATTATAGGAGGAGTTTATATTCAACCCTGGACATCTTGATGACGTTGCACTTTATTGCTGAAGTATATTAATATTGTTATTTCATGTAATTGCAGAGCCCCTCATGACCTATATAAGACAATGTGGCTGGAGGTGATTAGAACAGGGAATACACTTTCAATTTCAAATAGAGTGTGACATTGGAGTTAACTAATTAAGTACACTGCTCTTATTCATTTCAGTGCCTTCTGGAGGGCAAAATTGGTACTGACCATCAGAGGTATCAATAGTTGATATTAGTGAGGTGGCTACATGAAGATAGAAATGAGACTTCCCTTACCCTGCTGAGAAGGATAGCCACAGACATGTACGATCATAGGTTTAATGAATAAGCTCAATGGATTAGATGAATAAAAATCACTGGAGAGTATCAAGATGATCTACTAAAATGTAGTACATATGTTTCCATACACAGAGATCTCCATTTACAGTGCTGTTTTGGAGTAAGCTATTAGGTGACATTATTATTGGTCTGACATATCGGGTGACATTATTGGTCTACATTCTGAACTGAGTGAAGATAATGTAGTAGCACATTTGTAAGCACACAGAATCTTGCCTCTCTATTTCATTCTTTATTTTGCACCAGTATAAATAAGAAATCCTAAGTAGTTACATCTGTGCTGAAAACTAAACATTCCCTTGGTTAGGGTCTCCCAAAATCTAAGCTAGGAGAGACAAAACAGAGAGCATTAGCAAGCCAATCTGGTCACTTTCTTTAGTTTTACTAATCTAGCCTTTATCTGGTAACAATAAACAAACAAACAAACAAAAAAACAAAACAAAAAACCCCAAACTCCTATTTGACATCCATTTATCTCAATCTTGTGTCTACTGATTGGTTCAGATCTTAGCTGGCAAAGAGAGAAGTGTTATTAATAGACTTGAACAAGAACAGCAATGCTGATTTCATTATTATTTTTTGATTTCCAGTAAAGGTGGAAGGCAGAGGGTAATGTTGGGAATAAGGGCAATATGAGGATCAGGACAATATAGGAAAGAAAAATAGAGCAGAATAAGTCTCTCATATAACGCATTCTTCATCCATGTTATGTAACCCTCTTCTGCTCTTCCCCCTACCATGGTCCAACACATACATACATGTCATCTCCACCACACCCAACAATAGCAACCAAACCAAGAACTTTTCTCTCCCAACAATTTTTTCCAGTTTTTATGTTTGTCTTATCAAATCCTAGTGCCCAAATATCACCAAGAACATAATTGTAATCAAACAAATTTAGTTGTATTAACTCACTGCAGCAAGAAAAACTGCATCCTATGGGGAAAATAATCTCAGTGAGATGGAATTTTTATAGGGTTTGGGTTTGCACTGGGTGATCTGTGTGTCTGTCCCTGATTGTGTTGTCAGAAAATGAGGGCTATTTGTTGACTGAGTACATTAATAATGTTAATTTAAGAGGTAGCCAGAATTAAGTAAGACTATTACTGATGAGAGACCGTTAGTTGCTCAGAAGGGAATGTGGTTGCATAGTGTCCTTGTTTTTGTCTTGTTCCATCAGGGTTATATATTAATCTTATCTGATGTTGATATTCTGTGAAATTGTTCATGTTCAGCAAGGAACACAACCTAGCTATTGGCTGCCAGGCCAGCTAACACTTGTCAGCTGTCAAAGATTGTTGTTTTTTCTCCTTTCCTCCCTCTGCCCGCCCCGCCACCCCCTAGTTTCTTATAGTCATCAATTTCTCTTTCCATACTGACGAAGCTTGAAAGTTTGTTCTCAGGGGAGAAAAAAAGGGGAGCTTGTGTTTATTATAGACTTATCATTCATTACTGAATTTTAGAAAGCAGAAATCCTGAAAGAAAGAGGAAAAAAATTACCTTTTAAGAAACCACTTCCATGTAAAAATGGAGGTGTATTAGCTGTGTATGTGCATGGGACTATAATTTATTGGAGGTACAAATCCATTCATAAAAATGTTTATAGCTGCATTATGGTTACAGTCACTAATGAGACTGAGTTATTAGAGGTATGCAAAGATATTAACAAAGTTTTGGTGATAGTTTTGTTTATGTTAACCTGGATGTAATTATGCTTTAAAGACATAAAAATAATTCAAGAAAGGTTATTAAAAAGATATCAGTAGATTGAAGTATTTTAATATACTTTTTCATAGATGGAATATTAATAGTTGAGAAAAGTGTTATATTTCAAGCATAATGTAGCTAAGACTCAAATGAAAATTTTATTAGGTGTATCTTTAACAGCAGATTGGGAGCACCAGAGATGCTTTCTACACGTGACATGAACCTAATGTAGAATTTTCAGTACTTCAATAATTCTCTTTTAAGAGAATTACATTTCTTAAAGTACAGACTTCTCATTGGTTTTCTGGTTTGGGCTTTTTATTTATTTTTCAAAATAGATGTTTTTATTCCCTGTACTGAAATGGTTGCTACAGAAATAGTTATGGTTGTGACCTGATTCTTAAAAGTACAATTTGGCCATTTTCAAGGTTTCTGATGCATTCAGTTATCTATACATGAATGTTCATCTATCCATGAACAGATGTCCAAGAAGGAGCTAATGGTGAAGAAACTGCTCAATTTTCACTACATTTGATTGGAATAAATGTTTCCCTCCCCTATTTATTTTTTCACTCAGAAAGCCTGAAGTGCCCCCGTTCAACAATGCTGTCTTATTTCTCCTTTTACCCCATCTAGAGAAATGAGTTATGGAGACTACTTGGGAAGAGTTAGTGAAAATAGGGGAACAAAAGAAGGCAATGAGAAGAAAAGGCTAATAACAGGGTCTTTCCTGCTTCTGTCCAGGCACAGTTGTGTTTAGGAAATATTTATTGATATATATAGACTGAAGACTTTTTTTTCCATTTGAAATGACCAAAATTACTGCCTTCCTATGAGCGAAACTACAGACTTTATTTGGAGTCCACTAGATGGTCTGTTAATGTGCACTTTGTGTTCCAGGGCGCAATGCAGGGTACCATATTGCATGTTTTTGCAGTCTTCAGTGTGTCAGTTTCCTCAGTCTTTCCTGGTATTCATGAGGATTACACTTACAATCAAGATGATTAGTAGTATCTAGTTGAATGTCCCTTAATTTGGATTTGTCTGATATTTTTCTTGTGATTAGAGTGGGGTTTTTAATTTGTAGACAAGTATCAAGATGTAAAATGTCCTTCTTGTCACATAATCCCAGAAAATACATGATATCCACATGACATCACTGATGATGGTAACTTTGATCACATGGTAAGGTAGTGTTTGCCAGGTTTCTCCACTGTAAAGTTGCTATTTTCTTCTTTCCCTTTTCTATTACTTGAAAGAGAGAGTCACTAAGTATATCTAGCCCACTCTTCAGTGTAGGATGGAATTAAACTTCACTCCTAGAGGAGGGAACACCTATATGTATTATATGGGATTCTTCGGTAAAGATAATTAATCTCTTCTGCCTCATTTATTTATTCAAACATGCGTTTATCAGTATAGACTCATGAATATATATTTTATATTTGGGTTATAATTCAATATCACATTATTTATTTTTAATTTTATTTTTATTGCTATATAATATATGTATATATTTTGGGGGTACATGTGATAATTTAATACATTCATATAATTTGTAAAGACCAAATCAATGTAATTGGGATTTACAAAACCTTTAATATTTGTCTTTACTTTACATTAGAAACATTTGAATCCTTTTCTGCGAGTTATTTTGAAATACACAATAGATTATTGTAAAGTATAATCACCTCACTGATTTGTCAAACACTAGGTCTTATTTCTTCCACAAAATTGTATATTTGTACCCATTAACCAGTCTGTTTTCATTTCTCTCTCCCCTCTACCCTTCCCAGCTTCTGGTAATCACCAATCTTCTCTTTATCTTCAAGAGTCCTACTTTTTTAGCTCCCACATATGACCGAGAATGTGCAATATTTGCCTTTATGTCCCTGGCTTATTTTACTTAACATCACCTCCAATTCCATCCATCTTGTTGCAAATGGCATGATTTCATTCATTTTTCTGACGGAATAGTATTCCCTTGTGTATATATACCACATTTTCTTTATGCATTCATATACTGATAGGAAGTTAGGTTGATTCCATTCTTTGGCTATTGTGAATAGTGCTGCAATAAATATCAGTGTGTGATGTCTCTTTGATACACTGGTTTTCCTTTTTATTTTTTTAAATATGTATACCCAGTAGTGGGATTGCTGGATTGTATAGTAGTTCTAAAAATAGAACCTTTTTGAGGAACATTTATACAGTTTTCCACGGTGGCTGTACTAATTTACATTCCCACAAAACGTGTAGGAGAGTTGCACTTTCTCCACCTCCTTGCCAGCATCTGTTAGTTTCTGTCTTTTTGATAGTAGCTGTTTGACTAGGGTGAGATGATATCTCACTATGGTTTTAATTTGCATTTCTCTGATGTCTAGTGATGTTGACCATTTTTTTTTCTTATACCTGTTGGCCATATGTATACCTTCTTTTGAGAAATGTCTGTTCAGATTGTTTGCCCACTTTTAGATGCTATTGAGTTGGAGCTTCTTATATATTCTGGTTATTAATCCCTTGTTTAGATAGTTTGCAAGTATTTTTTGCCATTCTGTGGGTTGTCTATTCACTTTGTTGATTGTTTGCTTTGCTACACAGAAGGTTTTTAGCTTGATGTAATCCCATCTATACATTTTTTCTTTGCTTGTGTTTTTGAGGTCTTACACAGAAATTTTTTCTCAAATCAATGTCCTGGAGGGTCTCCCCAGGGTTTTCTTCTAGTAGTAGTATTATCATGGTTTAGGGTCTTAGATTTAAGTAATCTATATTGCTTTGATATTTGTATATGGTGAGAGGTGGGGGTCTAGTTTAGTTTTTTTTGTTTTGTTTTGTTTTTTTGAGACAGAGTCTCGCTCTGTGGCCCAGGCTGGAGTGCAGTGGCACAAACTCGTCTCACTGCAACTTCCACCTCCTGGGTTCAAGCGATTCTCCTGCCTCAGCCTCCCAAGTGGCTGCGATTACAGGCGCCTGCCACCACGCGTGGCTAATTTTTGTATTTTTAGTAGAGATAGGGTTTCACCATGTTGGTCAGGCTGGTCTCGAACTCCTGACCTCAGGTGATCCACCCACCTCGGCCTCCTGAAGTGCTGGGATTACAGGCATGAGCCACTGTGCCCAGCCTATTTTGAGTTTTTTATCAGACCTTTATTGAGATATAATTCTCATATAATGTATCCATTTGAAGCATAGAAATCACTGGTTATTACTACAATTACAGAGTTGTGCAACTATCATCACACAATTTTAGAACATTTTCTCACCCCAAAAGAAATCCCATACCTGTTTTCATGTCACTCCCCAT
Organism: Homo sapiens; assembly: GCF_000001405.40. NCBI lineage: Eukaryota > Metazoa > Chordata > Mammalia > Primates > Hominidae > Homo > Homo sapiens. The sequence goes on along the minus strand of NC_000009.12, from coordinate 103,893,389 downwards.
TTCTCCTGCAATCACCCTCCCTGACCCTAACAATGAACAATCACTGATCTACTTTCTGTCTCTATGGATTTGTTTATTGTGGACTGTTCATGTAAATGAAATAATACACTATATGGTCTTTGTGGCTGGCTTCTTTCACATAGCATAATCTTTTAAAGGGATATCTATATTATAGTCTGTATTAATATTTCATTTTTTTAACTTTTATGTTCAAGAGTACATGTGAAGGTTTGTTACATGGGTAAACTCGTGTCATGGGGGTTGTACAGATTATTTCATCACCCAGATATCAATTTCAGTACTCAATAGTTATCTTTTCTGCTCCTCTCCCTCCTCATATCCTCCAATCTCAAGTGCACCCCAGCATCTGTTGTTTCTTTGTGCTCATGAGTTATCATCATTTAGCTCACACTTCTAAGTGAGAACATGCAGTATTTGGTTTTCTATTCCTGTGTTAGTTTGGTAAGGATGATGGTCTCCAGTTCCATCCATGTTCCTGTTAAAGATATCAACTTGTTCTTTTTTTATGGCTGCATATGTTTCATGGTGTATATTTATATGTTTTCTTTATCCAATCTGTCATTGATGGCCATTTAGGTTGATTTCATGTCTTTGTTATTGTGAATAGCACTGCAATGAACATTCGTGTTCATGCGTCTTTATGGTAGAATGATTTATATTCCTCTGGATATACACCTAGTAATAGGATTGCTGGGTCGAATGGTAGTTCTGCTTTTAGCTCTTCGACAAATTACCGTACTGCTTTCCACAATGACTAAATTAATTTACGTGCCCACCAACAGTTTATAAGTGTTCCCTTTTCTCTGCAGCCTCACCAGCATCTGTTGTTTTTTTGACTTTTAACTAATAGCCATTCTGACTGGTGTGAGATGGTGTACCATTGTTGTTTTGGTTTGCATTTCTCTAATGATCAGTGATATTGAGCTTCTTTTCATATGCTTGTTGGCCCGGTGTATGTCTTCTTTTGAAAAGTGTCTGTTCATGTCCTTTGGCCACTTTTCAATGGGATTGTTTTCTCTTGTAAATTTAAGTTCCTTATAGATGCCGGATATTAGACCTTTGTCAGATGAAGTTTGCAAATATTTTCTCCCATTCTATAGGTTGTCTGTTTACTCTGTTGATAGATTCTTTTGCTGTTCAGGAACTCTTGAGTTTAATTTGATCCGACTTGTCAATTTTTGCTTTCGTTTTGATTGCTTTTGACGTCTTCATCATGAAATCTTTGCCCGTTCCTATGTACAGGATGGTGTTGCCTAGGTTGTCTCCCAGGGTTTTTATAGTTTTGGGTTTTATATTTAAGTCTTTAATCCATCTTGAGTTGATTTTTGGTGTAAGGAAGGGGTCCAGCTTCAATCTTATGTATATGGCTAGCCAGTTATCCCAACACCATTTATTGAATAGGGAGACATATTTTCCACAGTTTGGCATTTATATCTTTGATATTTTTCTTTTGGATTTTTCAATGGCATGATTTCATATTTTATAGAGACTATTGAATTTTTATGTAATTAAATGTAAGGCTTCTAAGTTTTATGTCTTTAGAAATGCCTTGACAAAGGACTTGTATTAAGAATAGGTTAAGAATACTTATATTTCAACAGTTGAAAGACAAATAACCCACTTAAAAAGTGGGCAAAGGATTTCAATAGAAATATTCAAATATGACATACATAATCAACATACACATGAAAAGATGCTGAACGTCATTAGTCACTGGAAAATGCAAATAAAAACCAAAATGAGATGTCACTTCACATCTACTAAGATATCTAAATTTTTTCTTTTTTTTTCTGAGACGGAGTCTCACTCTGTCACCCACCTCTGCCTCCTGAGTTCAAGTGATTCTCCCGCCTCCGCCTCCCGAGTAGCTGGGACTACAGACGTGCACCACCACACTTGGCTAATTTTTTTGTATTTTTAGTAGAGACAGTGTTTCACTATGTTGGCCAGGCTGGTCTCGAACTCCTGACCTTGTGATCTGCCAGCCTCAGCCGCCCAAAATGTTGGGATTATAGGCATGAACCACCATGCCCGGCCTAATTTTTTAAATAAATCAGAAACAGACAATAACAAGTATTGATGAAAATGTGGCAAAACTGGAACACTTGTATACTGCTGGTGGCATTGTAAAATGTTTGGAACACTTTAGAGAGCAGTTTGGCAGTTTCTCAAAATGTTAAACTTTTTAAAGAAGATTTTTGCATCCATTTTCATCAGGGATATTGCCCTGTATTATTCTTTCTTTGTTGTGTCTTTGGTTGGATTTGGTATCAGGGTAATGCTAATGTCACAGAATGAGTATGGAAGTATACCCTATACCCTCCTCTTCAATTTTTTTTTTTCAAAGAGTTTCAGTAAAACTGGTATTAGTTCTCTGTTTATGTTTGGTAGAATTCAGCAGTAAAGCCATCAGGTCTTGGGCTTTTTTTTTTTTTTTTTTGATAGGAGACTTTTTATTATTGCTTGTATCTCATTACTCATTATTTGTCTGGTCAGTTTTTTTTTTCTTATTTATTCATGGTTCAATTTGGCAAGTTGCATAGGTCTAGGAATTTATCCATTTCATCTAGGTTTTCCAATTTGTTGGCATATAGTTGTTCATACAGATCTATAACAATCATTTATATTTTTGTGTTATCAATATGCAAAAGAATGAAACTAGACCCCCTCACCCTATATAAATATCAAATCAAAATAGATTAAAATGCATAAATGTAAGACCTGAAACTATGAAACTACTACAGCAAAACATTGGGGAAATGCTTTGAGACATTGATATGGGTAAAGACTTCATTAGACTGGGCATGAAGACTTCAAGATTTTATTGATGTGGGCAAAGACCTCAAAACCACAGGCACCACAGCAAAAATTTAAGAATGAGATAATTAATGTTAAGCTAAAAATCTTCTGCATAGCAAAGAAAACAGTCAACAAAATAAACAGATAAAGAATAGGAGAAAATACTTGCAAACTCTTTTTTTGACAAGGGATTAATAACCAAAGTATAAAAGGAAATCAAACAACTCAGTAGCAAACTAACAAGTAATCCAACTAAAAAATATGCAATAGATGTGAACAGACATTTCTCAAAAGAAGATATACAAATGCCAACAGGCATATAAAAAAGTGTTCAACATCACTAGTCATCAGGGAAATGAAAATCAAAACCACAGTGAGATATCATCTCACCCCAGTCAAATGGCTATTATCAAAAAGACAGAATATAACAGATGCTAGCAAAGAAGTACACAAAGGGCAACTGTCTTATACTGTTGGTGGGAATGTAAGTTTGTACAGCCACTATATAAAACTGTATAAGTGTTCCTCAAAAAACTAAAAATAGAACTATTATAGAATCCAGCAATCTCAGTACTTGTTATATATTCAAAAGAATGGAAATCAATAAATCTAAGAGATATCTGCATTCCCATCTTTCTTACAGCAATATTCGAGGTAGTCAAAATATGAAATCAAGTCAAATTTCCATTAGTGTGTAAATGAATGTAGAAAATGTGGTTTATATACATAATGAAATATTATTTAACCTTAAAAAATGAAATCCCATCATTTTCAGCAAGATGGATGGAAGTGGAGATCATGTTAAGTAAAATAAGCCAGGAACATAAAGGCAGATATTTAATGTTCTCACTCATATGTAGGAGCAAAAAGAATTGATCTAATGGAGATAATGAAGAGAATGCTGGTTACCAGAGGCTGGGAAGAGTAGTTCAGAGGTGGGAATGAAGAGTGGTTGTTTAATTGGTATAAAAATACAATTAGATAGAAGAAATCAGCTCTAGTGTTTAATAGCACCAATATCAAACACTATAGGGCAGCTATAGTTTACTATCATTTATTGTATATTTCAAATAACTAGAAGAGATTTGAAATGTTCCTAACACAAAAAAATGATAAATTCTTGAGGTGATAGATACTCCAATTACCCTCATTTGATCATTACGCAGTAGACTTGTATCAAAATATCACATGTACCCCATAAATATGTACATTATGCATCAATTACAATTTTTAAAAATGTTAAACAAGTTACTATATGATCTAGTAATTTCGCTTCTCCTGTATACACCCATGAGAATTAAAAATATGTATGTCCACATGAAAACTTGCGCACAAATGTTCATAGGGGCATTATTCATAATCACCAAAAAGAAAAAGCAATCCCAATGCACAGGAATGAATGGATAAACAAAACTATAGGGACAGAAGTAGATTAGTGATTAGGGCCAGATGCTGTGGGAAGAGAGGAAGGAGGAGTGACTGCAAAGGTGTGGGTTTTTTTTTTGGTCATGAAGATTTACTCTTACATTTCTGTCTAAGAGTTTAGATTTTTAGTTCCTACAAGATTCTTCTTGAACTGGCCATTGTAGCCACATCTGCTTCCTCTCTCCATCACATTCTGTGCTGTAGCAACAAAGAACTACCTTGATTTTTACATGTTGGTCTGTTTCTCTGGAGAACTGTGTTCCATTATTATAACATTTTCTGAAATAATATATAATTTTATAATATGTGATATTATATATGGAACGCTGTTCAGTCATTATATTTGCTTATATATAATTATATAAATGTATTATAACATATATTAATAGCATATATATATTTGCTAATATATTTTTATATTAGCAAAAATATAAAGATTTTAAATTATTTTTACTAGACTTATAGCAAATTTACTTAAAAACAATTGACTTTCTTAAAGCTTTAATAGCTCACTACAACCATTATAATACTATACATGAAGATTATTGCCAAAGAGGATCAGCTGGTTGTCCCCAGTTATTCCACAGGAAGGCATTAACTTGTAAAATTTACTATAGTTGAAGTATTTATTCTCATCCTGCTTGCCCAGACAAATCAGACTTATAGTGAAAGAAGCTGGAGATACCTCAGAAAGTGGAACCCACTCGAAAACAATACCATCTCACTATAGACTTCTGTATAAAACCAGTCAAAGGGCTTTAATGGATAGTGTGATGGGTAATTTTATATGTCAACTTGACTGGGCTATAGGGTGTCCAAACATTTGGTCAAACATTTTTCTGGGTATGCCTGTAAGGGTGTTTTTGGATAAGATTAACATTTGAATCCATAGACTGAGCAAAGCAAATTGCCCTCTCAAATAGGAGTTGCCCTCATCCAATCAATTGAAGACCTAAATAGAACAAAAAAGACCTAAGAAGAGGGTATTTCAGCTGCCTGACTGATTGACCTTGCACTTAAACTGGAACTTACACAGTCAGCTCTCTCGAATCTTCACCTTGCCAACTGCAGATCTTAGAATTTCTTAACCTCCTGTATGAATGCTATGTGAGCCAATTCCTTATAATCTCTCTCTTAGAATCTTTCATTTTTTCTCAATCTCTCTTTCCTATTGGTTCTGTTTCTCTGAAGGACCCTGACTAATAGACAGTTATGACCTCCATCAGTGCAATTTCCTCCTGGACTAAGAAATCTTCAGAGATGGCCAAAGCATAACCCATAATAAGAAATAGGAGCAAGCTATATTACTTATAATAATACAAACAAGTTATACTTAGGCAATTATAGATGGGTAAGAGCTGTCAACATCTAAATAGGTAGATATCTATTTATCTCCTCAGTCACCCACAGACCATTTGTCTTCAGAGCTTATTGAGTATTATCAATTTTTTCCTAACACAAGTATTTAATGAGTGTATACGTGCCCTCAATCTTTTAAGTATGGCATAGTAGTAAGAAATACAAGTGCCTGCTCTATGGTAATTGATAGGTAATAAATAAATATGAGAAAACAGGTAATGAAAAGTGAAACTAAGAAATTAGGGTTATATTTTTCCAAGTGCCTAGAAAATATTATTTTATTGGTGTGGTGGTTAACATTAGGTGCCAATTTGATTGGATTGAGGGATACCTAGATGGCTGGTAAAGTGTTGTTTCTGGGTGTGTCTGTGAGGGTGTTGCCAGAGGAGACTGACATTTGAGTCAGTGGAGTGGGAGAGGAAGACCCATTCTCAGTGTGATTGGGGACCATCCAATTGGCTGCTAGTGTGGCTGGAAAAGCAGGTGGAAGAAGATGGGATAGCTTTGTTTGCTGAGTTTTCTGGCTCTCTTCTTGTCATGTTGGATGCTTGCTTATGCTACTCCTGCCCTTGGACATCATACTCAAGGTTCTTCAGCCTTTGGACTCTGAGACTTGTACCACTAGCTTCCCAGGGGGCTCTTGGGCATTTAGTCACAGACTGAAGGTTGTATTATAGGCTTCCCAGGTTTTGAGGCTTTCAGACTTGGACTGAGCCACTACTGGCTTCTCTCTTCCCCAGCTTGCAGATGGCCTATCATGTGACTTTGCCCTGTAATCACGTAAGCCAATTCTCCATAATAAATTCCCTTTTATATACACATATATCCTATTGGTTCTGTCTGTTTCAAGAACCCTGATCACAGAGTGGGCCATCCTTATTTTGGAGGTCTTGGTTGGGTATAGGTCCAACACAGACATACTACCACCGGCAATGTCAATGTACTTTTCAGGTGCTAATTCTTCAGCTGAAACATAAATGAAATTAGTTATATCCTATTGATAAGTGACATTCAAAAAAGTTTTTAAAATACAAATTGTACATATTTGATGGTTTATCTATGTGTAATGTATTAAATGCTTTGACTTTAGCAACTTTGTACAATAAACAGTAATTATATTAATTATTGTTTTGTGTCAGGATTAGAAAATGATAAAAAAAAAATTCTTCTTCAAGCCAAATAGGCAGAATGAACACTTTTCTTCTTCAACATCAATGCACTTCTCATCATTCAAGCCTATAGTGGCCCTCTTTGATGGTTACATAGTAGAGACAGCATTGAAGGTGCTAAAACTCCAACAATAAACCATCCTATTATTATTTCAATATTTATTTCTCTGATTCTAGGACTGAGCTCCACATCCAGAGCAGTAGAACTATACCTGGAACATGGTATAGCTTCAGACCAAGAGAATGGCTCTTATCAAGGTCACCTGATCTCTGAATAACCGTTTGGTTCTGGTGATTTCCATAAAAATGGTACATTATCAGTACACAGTACATTTGACACAATTCCAGGGCCCACAAAATATTCTTTGCCTTAAGACAGGTGTGTCAGTCAGGGTTCTCCAGAAAAACAGAACTAATATAATATAGATATATTAGAGAGGATTATTAGGAGATTGGCTTTTGCAATTACAGAGGCTGAAAAGTCTCATGACAAGCCATCTGCAAGCTGGAGACCCTGGGATGCTGGTAGCATGGCTCAGTACAAGTTTGAGAGCTTCATAACCAGGGAAGCTGGTGGTGTCTTAGGCCAAAGACCTGAGAACCAGGTAGGAGGGCATGAGTGTAAGTCCTGGCATTCCAAGGCCAGAGAATCTGGAGTTTTGATGTTCAAGAGCAGGAGGAGGAGAGTGTCCTAGCTCCAGGACAGAGAGAAAAATATTTCTCTCTCTCTTGTTCTTTTGGGGCCTCCAACCTGATTGGATGGTGCCTGCCCAGATTGAGGGCAGATCTTCCTTACTCAGTCCATTGATGCACCTGCCAATCTTTTTTGGAAACACCTTTATAGACACAGCCAAAAGTAATGGTTTTCCAGATCTCTAGATATTCCTTTATCCAGTCAAGTTGACATCTAAAATTAACCATCGCAAAAGGTAACATGTTCAGTGAGTCAGATACTCACAGGATTCATGTAAAATGTGCTTTCAGGGAGAATCAGATCACATCTTTTACTGCAAGCTTTCTATCCAGACAGAATGGGGATCAACGTCTAGATTTCTTTCCTTTTCTCTCTTCTTTAGTGGTCTGTTTTGAATTGTAACGAAGTATTTTTTAGCTTCCTCTGCAATATAAGCTTTCTCAATGATGGCCATTTGTGTACCTGATCTTGTAAATGAAGTAAACTGTCATCCCTACTGAAAAAATATCATCAAAACAAAATGTATATTCATGTAAAGACTGGTGAGCTTTGGCATAAGAACCTAGCAGCATAGAAATTTGAACAGCTTTTATTTGTACAAGGATATTTTAGATAACTTAAAATACCTTTTACCCATCAATTCTGTAATTATGACAGCAATAATATTGTCAATATCTAGATTTATTTTGTAATTTTTTTGAGACAGAATCTCACTCTGTTGCCCAGGCTAGAGTGCTGCAGTGTGATCTCAGCTCACTGCAACTTCTGCCTCCCGGGTTCAAGTGATTCTCCTAACTCAGGCTCCCGACTAGCTGGGACTACAGGCATACACCACTATTCCCAGCTAATTTTTTCTTTTTTTTTCTTTTTTTCTTTTTTTTTCTTAAGGTAGAGATGGCGTTTTGCCATGTTGGCCAGGCTGGTCTCAAAACTCCTGACCTAAGGTGATCAGCTTGCCTCAGCCTTCCAAAATGCTGGGATTATGGGCATAAGCTACTGCGCCCGGCCCTATCTAGATTTATTATAGTAATTGGCTTTACACAGAATTTACTATTACAAACTACTATTGCAATTACATTGTGGAATACTGCCCATAATGTTTTTATTTTAAATGTTCTATTTCCCCTGTGGAGCAAAGCAATTTATTTGTTGAAACTGTATAGGATAAACAATAAATGATAATGTTTGAGGTTACTATCCCAGAGAAAAAGCTACTATGTGAATATGTAGAGGGCATGAAATGTACCTTTTGATCTCCAGCTTGGTCAACAAAGACTACATCATAGAACAGAGCTACAATCAGTCAGGATATCAAAGAAATTCTTTTGGTGGACTGACGGTAAATTAACACCTTGATGTGCTTCTAGTTATACTTCTGGTCAATACTGTATGCCCAGGCAGAAAGAAACAGCAGTTCAGTGAGAAAACTATGGTGAAATAAATCATACCTTTTTTTTTTTCGCTTTTTGTTGACATATTTATCCTTTGTACATATGAGTGTAATTCTTTACTCAGAATGATTTAAGTATGTTACAACAAACTGAAATTTGATTAAAGGCAACCCTGCTGCTTTTAGTTGACTATTTGTATCTATCCTAATATCATGAATTGATTACATAGAATTTTTAATTTATTCATCAAAATGAGCTTACATTGCCTTTGCCTACAAAATGCAATAAGTTTTATGTATCTAAGATACCATTTTATGGGTTTATTAAAGAAGATATAGAAAAACCTGGGATATGTGGAAATGGGAGGCAGTGGTCGGGAGTTTGAGGCTGAGACACAGCATCGTGTTATTTGCTTGCCTGTTAGATTTCTCATGTTAAAGGCATAAAAATCTCCATTCTAAAAAAGGAGAGATTTATGCTTCATAGGATGTTTTATTGGATTACAAAGAATTTTTTAAAAAAGAATTTTTCAAACAAGAATTTTTCAAAATTAATTCATTTCCTTAATACATCCATTATTTATTTACTTTTATTTATGTTTTCAGTTTCCTTTAATTGATAGAAAATTTACATGCAGTAAAATGCACAGAACTTCAGTATACAATTCAATTATTTTGGATAAATATGTACACCTAGGCAATTGACATCTCAATCAAGACACAGAACATTCTCAACACTCTGGAAAGATCCTTTGTGTCCATTTTAGTTATGCTTACTCCTATCACCAACCATGTTTCTGGTTTCTATTGCCATATATTAGTTTATCTTGTCCTTGAATTTCACGTAAATGGAATCATACACTGTGTTCTCTTCTGTGCCTTCTTGAACTCAATGTAACATTTTGAGATGCATTTATATTACAGGATGTACCTATAATTCATTTCTATTTATTGCTAAATATGTTTACCATTGTAGGAATATAACAAGTTTTATTATCCATATTTGATAGGAAAACATTTTTGGTTTTAGTTTTTATACTATTACAATAATATTGCTATAAACCTTCTTGTACAAGTCATTTTTGTACATATATATTTTTATTTGTTTTATATCCAGAATCTCATAGTATAATATCTAATATGTCCAGGAAACAATCCCAACTTGAATGAGAGAAGACAATCAACAGACATTAATGCCAAGATAAATCAGATGTTGTAGTTACTTGATACAGTTTTTGAAGCAGCCATCATAAAAATGATTTTTAAAAAAGTTAAAAATTCTTTTGCAATTGAAAAAAAAGAAAATTTGAGAAAAAACAGAATTTCTAAAAAGAACCAAATGGTAATTATAGACCTGAAAACTGCAATGCCAAAAATAAAACCTCACTGGATTGACTCAATAGTAGAATGGAGATAACAGATGATAGAATCAGTGAATGTGAGGAATGATCAATACAATATGCTTGATCCGAACAACAGAGAGAAATAGGCTAAAGAAAACAAATGTCAGAGTTCTTTGGGAAAATAATAAAAGCAAACATTTGTGTCATTGGAGTTGAAGAAGGAGAGGATAGAGTATTACTAAAAAAGTATTTAAAGAAATAATGGCTGAAAACTATCTAAACTTGGCAAAAAGACACTTGGTAGGCAGAAAAATGCCTGCACCCCACTGTAAATGCCCATGCCCCTGAACACTGTGTTCTTTCCATATTATCTAACATAGCAAAAGGGACTGTGCAGATACCTTTACAACCTTGGGATAAAAAAAATCTTGGATTATCCAAGTGGGATGAATCAAATATCATGGATCTTTAAAATCAGAGGCTGTTTCCTAGCTGAGTTCAGAGTCATAGGTAGATTTGACTATAGAAGAATGCTCAGAGAAACGCAAAACTGTTGGCTTGGAAGACAAATAAAATAAGTCATAAGTCATGGAATATCGACAGTCTCTAGAAGCTAGAAAAGGCAAGAAAATGGATTCTTCCCTCCAGCTTCCAGAAAGGAACACAGACTTGCTGACACTTTAATTGTTGCCCAATTGACACCTATATCAGATTTCTAATAAAAAAAACTGTAAGATAATCAATTTGTTTTCCTTTAAGCTACTTGGTTTGTGATAGTTTGTTACAGCACCAATACAAAGCTCACATTAAGACATAAACCTCAAAATCCCAGGAGCTAATTGTGCATCAAGTAAGACAAATCTAAAGAAATCTATACCAATACACACAATAATTGAAATTTTAATAATGAAAGACAGAAAAAAAGTCTTGAGTGCAGTCAAAGAGAAAAGCCTTGCTGAGGGACAATTCAAATAACAACAGATTTCTCACTGAGATCTACTGAGATCAGAAACAAATGGAATGACATTTTTGAATACTGAGGGTTGGGTTGGGGTGGTGAGAACTGTTAACCACAAACTTTATATCCAGTGAAAATTTCCTTCAGAAATAAAATGGAAATGGAAATATTCTCAGATAAAGGAAAACTAAGAGAATGTGCCACTAGCCGACCTATCCATAAGGAATAAAGAAAGTTCTCTCAATAGAAAGGAACTTATAACACAAGAAGGCTTGGGACTTTAGAAAAGAAAGTACATGAGAATGACTAAACATAGCAGTAAATATAATATAACAGATTTCCCTTCATCTCATGAGTTATTTAACCCAAATTTGATGGTTGATGCAAGAATTACAGCCCATTCTGATGCTGTGGTCAATGCACGTGAACTAAATACTTAAGTATTTTAAAAAATGGGGAGTGCAAAGAGACCTAAATGGAAGTAAGGCTTCTCCACTTCACTCAAACTGGTAAGAAATTGACACAAGTAGACTTTTTAAAAGTATGTGTTACTTATGTTGTAATACTGCAAAGAACCACTAAGAAAAATAATAAAAATGATTAAAAGAAACATTTTTTTCTTGTATAAGACTAATGATCTTCTTGTAGGGTTGATTGTGAAATACAGAAAGAGAAGGGACGCAGAGTTCATAAAGCACCACAAGCAGTTATATAATGTTTGGGATTTTTTTAATGAAAAATAAAGACAAAGAAAGAAAGAAAAGAAAAAGGAAAAAGGGCAAATGACCAAAAAGAAATCAGAGGAGGAAGAAAATAAAGGGAAGCATTTTAGGCAATCTATTTAACTATGATTTTGACCCTTTACTGACATAATCCATTCTTATCCGTATTATTCCCCAAATTTAGTTACTTGTTAATTCCCAGTAGAGCTTGGATTTTTGCCCAGCCCATTAATCTTAGCTTTATACGTGAAACCTATTGATTCTATTAACCTGCAACATTGGTTACATTTTGTAAAATGGTGTTTCAAAAGTCTCCCTTCCCAGGAGAACTGGTGACATATCAACATTGTCCCAAGGGGTTTCGATTGCTAGTGTATTTTATAGTGACATTTAGGCATTCTGACAACTGCCCTAATTATTATATGTTCCTCTGTAAAGGTTGTCTCTAACAATATGTAAAAATCAAATAAATGATAGCACTATAACCTATCATTTTTTCAGTTTGATTGGCATCTGTAATATTCATTAATAATTTGGTACATTTATAGACAATGATGAAGAAAACGTCGTTTCTGCCAGGATTGTTTTCTCCCAAAGGATATACTAGACAGCTGCTTACTTCTAGTAAAGTTAAGTCTAATGCCATGAGTCTCCACTTTGTCTTACTATTAAAATAGTATAAATATCCTATGTTAGTTAACATTATGAACATGCATGATTTAATGCTATGCAGTGTGGTGTAGTGGAAGGACAATTATAGGAGTTATGTATTTAAGTCCCAGATTTTGTCAGTACTAAGCTGATGTACTGTATGTTATTTATCCTATCTGAATCTCAGTTTCCTAATCTATAAAGCTAAAGTTATGAACTACATAAACTCTAAAGGTATTCCTAGTATAAAAATTATGAAATTTTTTTGTTTTAACAAATACTTACTGGTGATCTGATAAGTAGTTATTCTTCCCCTTCTCTTTAATGCTACACCTTGCTTACATAGACTTTCTGTCCATCATACTTTATTCTGGGTATATAGATGACTCAATTACATTAATTGTGAGATCAGATTGGGCCTACTCAAAATATAAGTAACTTTTGGTATAGAAAATAAGTCAGAGTCAAGTTGATTCTAGTAACATCTAAAAATGCACTAAATCTCAATTTGTTGCTGGAAGACACCAGTTTTCCTAAGGTCCTCAGACACAATAAAGGAAATGGTGAGTGTGAAAGAAAAAGTGAGAAAGATGGGTGAAGGAGAAAAAAATCTTTATTCCGCTTATCTGATTAACATTTACTGAAATACCTGCACTGTGCTAGGCACGTGGTAGGTCCTGTTCTAGTAAATGAAGATACAAAAATGAATAAAACATTCTCTGTCCTCAGGAAGCTCATGGCCTAGTGGTAGAAACAGAAAATTTAAAAAAATGATAATATAGTGTGATGTGAGCAGCATTTAACTTGTATGAGGACCTATAATATGCCAGACTCTTTTATAAGAGCTTTATAAGTACTATCTCATTATCAAAACAGATCTATAAAGCAGGCATTATTTTTAATAAATCCTTTTTTTTTTGTTTTACAGAAGAAACCAGTACAAAGAAGTTAGTTAAATCTACTCTTGGCCAGGCGCAGTGGCTCATGCCTGTAATCCCAGGACTTTGGGAGGCCCAGGGGAGGATCATGAGGTCAGGAGATCGAGACCATCCTGGCCAACATGGTGAAACCCCGCCTCTACTGAAAATACAAAAATTAGCCGGGCATGGTGGCGGGCACCTGTAGCCGCAGCTACTCGGGAGGCTGAGGCAGGAGAATCGCTTGAACCCGGGAGGAGGAGGTTGCAGTGAGCTGAGATTGCACCTCTGCACTCCAGCCTGGTGACAGAGAGAGACTCTGTCTCAAAACAAAAACAAAAACTACTCTTGTATGGCCCCATGGGCCTTGTTTCACAGCCTCTATGTACCCTTCCTTTTCTTTTCTTTTTTTTTTTTTTTTGAGATGGAGTCTCATTCTGTCGCCCAGGCTGGAGTGCAGTGGCCGCAATCTCGGCTCACTGCAACCTCTGCCTCCTGGATTCAAGCTATTCTCCTGTCTCAGCACCGCAACTAGCCGGGACTACAGGCGCGCGCCGCCATGCCCAGCTAATTTTCTGTATGTTTAGTATAGACGGGGTTTCACCATGTTGGAAGGGCTGGTGGCGAACTCCCGATCTCAGGTGATCCGCCTGCCTCGGCCTCCCAAAGTGCTGGGATTACAGGCGTGAGCCACTGTGTCCGGCCTATGTATCTTTTCTATTTTTCATTAGCTAGTAGTTCTCTGGCTCTATTTCTATTTTATGTTCACATTCCAGGAAGATAATCCTATTGGACAATTTTAGCATCATCAGCTTTTTTTTGGGAAATGATCTTGTTCTAGGTCACCTCACTTGCTGTTGAATTTTGTTCAAGCTATATAGATTGGTGACTCTTGAGCCAGGTGCCTTCCCCCAGGTGGAATCATTCAAGCCAAGGCAGCAGGGTAATGTGTTATACAACATGGCGGCTCCCTTGAACACGGCAAAATTCTATGGAAGGTGGTTGCGAGAATTGAGCTGCATGATTGGCTTACTCAGCAATAGATATTGGATGAGGTTTCAAATGATGGAATATATCAACTGTGGAGTATGCTTGAAGATTGATCATAGTTAAATACTATGTGGTATCATTTTAAATAGAAACTTAAAAATAAGCTAGTTAATACCTTATGAGATCAAACTATTTTCCCTAGAAAGCTATCTTTAATAATAATTTCTAACAGAAATATTTCAGATATAAATTGAATGAACCTTTTAGATTCAAGTTATGATGCACATGAGTTTCTTTTAGAATTGCTGATATATTTATGTGGTCACATTTTGTTCTGTTACACTTTTAGCCATTCTTCTAAGACAAAACTGTGATATACGGGATAGAACTGTATGTTTACTTCTGTCAGTTTTGGAATCCAAGGTAGTATGAATCTTTAGAGCTATTAGATATAATCTATATGAGAATTTAGACCTTAGCTCCACCGTAGAATTGAAAGAACATAATATATGTGTGTTTAATGGCAGAATGATGTGGTTCAACTTGCTGAGCCACTTTAATGAATTGGTTGATAGCTGAATATAGTTGCCATAAAACTCAATCTACATTTTCACCTCACTTCTACCTATGTAAAAAAAAAATAATAAAAGTGGCAAAGTCTATAAAGAGCCTTTCCTGCAAATAAGTGATTATATTATGAGGACTAAGAATCAGAATTATTGGCCGGGCGCGGTGGCTCAAGCCTGTAATCCCAGCACTTTGGGAGGCCGAGGCCGGCGGATCATGAGGTCATGAGATCGAGACCATCCTGGCTAACACGGTGAAACCCCATCTCTACTAAAAATACAAAAAATTAGCCGGGCGTGGTGGCTGACGCCTGTAGTCCCAGCTACTCGGGATGCTGAGGCAGGAGAATGGCGTGAACCCGGAGGCGGAGCTTGCAGTGAGCCGAGATCACGCCACTGCACTCCAGCCTGGGTGACAGAGCGAGACTCCGTCTCAAAAAAAAAAAAAAAAAAAAAAAATTCTTAAGTTGAAACCCTAAGCCCCAGTGTGGTAATATTAGGAGGTGGGCCCTTTGAAAGGTGATTACGTTTATTAAGGTTACGAGAGTGACTAGTGACCTTATAAGAAGATGAAGAGACATTAGAGTTTCCTCTTTCTGCCACGTGAGAATACAATGAGAGGGCAGCTGTCTGTAAGCCAGGAGGAGGGCCCTCACCAAGGATTGAATCTGCTGGCACCTTTAACTTGGACTTCTAAGCCTGTAGAACTGTGAAAAATAAAGGTATGTTGTTTAAGGCATCCAGTCTATGATATTTTGTTTTAGTACCCTGAGCTGACTAAGACAGACTTTATTATGAAAAGAGAAACAAAGTGATGATTTAGTCCCTATTCACTACATTATGATACTATTTCCTTCACTATTTAGTCTTAACTTTTTTCAATAAATTGAGACATTTCCTAATAAATCTCCATTATGGATGATGTCTTTTTTGAAGGCTTTCAAAGCCTATTTAATCAAAATCAACTTTTCATGGGATTGTCTATAAAAATCTGTTCTGATTTTAAAGAAAACAAAAAAATCGTTTCTCTTGACACGTAACTTCTTTACTTGTTAAACACATCTATTACAGTGAAAGACCATGATATACAAAGTAGGAAGTTACTGAAAGAGAAATTACTTAGAATTATTGTTTGTCAACTATTTAACACTTTCAACATCCTTAAGTTATCATAAAGATTAAACTTTGCATTTAAGTGAGCCTATGTTTGAACACACAACATTCTCATAAATTACTTACCGGTCCACAGAAATATTATTGACAATGGCTATTCAGTATGGACCTGAATTATCAATACTTAAAATGAAATATTTGCTGATACAAAAGCCTCCTAAGTTTTAGATTGGTTTAAAGGATTTGAAATTCAATGTTCACTGGGCCAAGCAGACAATGTGAATTAATGAAAGTGGCCTTATGTATGAATGCTGGGGGCTGGCAAACTGTAGGGTGTATGACCCATCTAAAGGAGTCAGCCACTCTGCAGATACTCCTAAGACTGGTGACATATCATGCAGAAATGCTGTACCAGTGTTGCCAGGTCTTATTTCAAAAATAAATCTAAAACTCAGGTTTATATGAAAAATCCATTTTTGTAAACTGTACATACCAAATATAACATGTTTTCAGGTCAAATCTGGCTATTTGGTATGTTAAGTTTAATGACATCAGACATGATATCCACATATGTCCATCTCATAATTATAATGAATCTGAAAGTTGCTCAGGATGTTTGCACAGAAATTTGGAAGAATTATTGATGGGCAATTTTGAAGTTTGTCTCTATAACCCTTCCTTATTTATGTTTTCAATGTTAACATCCATTGACCTTCCAGCATAAATCTTGAAGTGAAATTGCTACTATGTTTAGCTGGCTTTAGTGTCATTCTTGAGGTACACCTTGCACAGTTGTCCTCTGATTGTTTTGATTTTATATTTCATTCCCATGGGACAACCTTACTTCCATATTCTTATTCATCAACTCACTTCTCACTGAGATCTATTGAGATCAGAAACAAATGGAATGACATTTTTGAATACTGAGGGTTGGGGTGGGGTGGTAAGAACTGTTAACCACAAACTTTATATCCAGTGAAAATTTCCTTCAGAAATAAAATGGAAATGGAAATATTGTCAGATATTCTTATTCATCAACCTCATTCATCAACTACAAGTACAAATGCATTGCAAAATCATCTAACTAATATTAATTGTGTAAAAAAATAGATTTTTCAAATTTTATGCACTGAGAGAGATTTCATCTCCAAACTTGAATAATCATTCCTTAACTGGGTTAATTACTAAGGATATTATTGCTAATTTGCTCTAAAAACTACTGGGAAATGTTAACACAAGGCTCCACTCCAGGCTTACCATATCCAGATATACTACAGACAAGAAATTCATGTCATCTTGATTAGCTATTGTCCTTGATTTTTTATCTATATGCACCAGTAGAAAATGACTAGAACCTTTAGGTCATGTTTTGGGATTTTTTTCCCACTGAAATTATCCATAATCACAATAATGTATATTAAGAGAGCAAGAGAGTATTTTTTGTTTTTGCTTTTTGAAGGCCCTTATTATCTGGGGACATCCTAAGAGGCAATGGAGGTTATATTCTCACCCACATGTATCATGGTGCTTTTCCCCCTTTTCATTTTCTAGCCCCAACTTGCTAAGTTAGATTTATGGATTCTGTGGTGAATTATGATCACATTGTTTCAATCTCGGTGTTTGATTTATTCACGTGCTCTAGGCCCTCTAGAAGGTATCCCATGATTACAAAGTTTTCTCGCATGGGTACTCGTTTGCTAATTTTTAGTTTAAAAAGACTGCAAAGCTCCCAGTCTAAAGCAATTACCCATGACTTTATTCCATACGCTCTTATTTCTCAACATCATTATGTTTAATGTTTTCGTTATCTTCTCTAGGTGGTTTGATTCACATTTGCTTAGGAAAAACCAGATTCATCATTTGATATTTAATATTACAGTGTGAAATAACTCTTATATGTCTTTGAGGGCTAGTATCTTCTCCCAATTCCATAGTGTACTAAATATATGTACATATGTCAGATGGTAACAAACTCTATAGATTACTGCATTTTTCTTCGCAGAGAGTAGTAAATACTACATAACTTTTATTAAGATGATTTTACATTTGTTCATTTTTTTTGAGACAGGGTGTCACTCTCTTACACAAGCTGGAGTACAGAGATGCAATCACTGCTCACTTCAACCTCAACTATCTGGGCTCAGGTGATCCTCCAACCTCAGCCTCCCAAGTAGCTGGGGCCACAGATACATGCCACCATGACGGGCTTTTAAAAAAATTTTTGGTAGAGACAGGTTTCACCATGTTGCTCAGCCTGTTGTCAAAGTCCTGGGCTCAAACAATCTTCCTGCCTCAGCCTTTCAAAGTGCTGGGACTACAGGTATGAACCACCACACCTGGCCAAAAATATTTATCTTGTGTACTTACTGCATTATGTTAGACAAAGATAAATAAGACTTTTTATTCCTTTAAGTGGTTTACAATCTAGTAGATGAGGTATTAATGATCTTGAGAAACTATAATTAAGAACAAAAGGTTCCCCCCGAGAACTATGACCAAAATACTATAGGGCATATAGCAGTTAATTCTGATTTGGGGACTGGGAGAAATCCAATAATTTACTGTGGAAGAAATATTCACATTAACCTGATAAAATTATTTTTAAAAGATGTTTTTTCTGTGTGAACACTGAATATGGTGTCTTTCAAAAACCAAACAAGCTGACATCATTAGATGTGGAAAATGCCCTCCCTCAGTGTTACCATTAGCAGTAATAGGTAATTCAAAATCCAATTCTTTCACAGTGACTCATTACTATTAATGAGACAAAATGAAAGGAAATGCCAGATAGTCCTCCTGGATATATAGAAAAGGTGAACATGAGAAATATAACCTGAGATTTTAATTTGTAAGTCTGAATATAATAAAACAAAGTACAGCCTCCATAATTTATCAAAAAAGTTATCTCTTAGCTTCCATATTGCTTTTTTTCTTGTGATATTTAGGTTACACTTTCCCTAGTTTACTGTTAAAATATTCCTCTCAAGGGATTCTGATTCGGTAGTTTTAAAAGTGAAGGACATAAAGAAATTAAAAAATATTTTACTCATGTCATTTGTGCTTTCAAGTGGCTTTTAAAAATCAATATAGCCATAAGAATTCTAGAAGAGAGTTAACATTTTGAGAACACTTATGCTAGAAAAGAGTATGTTTGTGATAGATCTGGATTCTACTGAAATTATCTTCCTCCCATACCAAGGTCTTGATGTCAAACATTTTTTAAAAATTATTATTGCTTTCACCTCTTAACTCCTTGCCTGATATGATCTTCTGTTTGTTACTTCCACGATGAGCAGGTGGAAATATACTGCCAGACATTGAACCACATGCTACTGTTGCCATGAAGTATTTTTAGTCTGATGTCTATCTATGATCTATTAGATGTTTAGGTTGAAGAGGTCTTTCTATTCTTTTTTTTTTTTTTTTTTTTTTTTTTTTTTGAGACAGAGTCTCACTCTGTTGCCCAGGCTGGAGTGCAATGGCAAAATCTCAGCTCACTGCAACCTCCGACAGCCAGATTCAAGGGATTCTCCTGTCTCAGCCTCCTGAGTAGCTGGGATCACAGGCGCGTGCCACCAGGTCCAGCTGATTTTTCTATTTTCAGTAGAGACAGGGTTTCACCATGTTGGTCAAGCTGGTCTCGAACTCCTGACTTCAGGTGATCCACCCGCCTCAGCCTCCCAAAGTGCAGGGATTACACACGTGAGCCACCACGCCTGGCCTTCTATTTTCTAATATGGAGGGACCAGGTCACTTGGAAATATCTATTTTCTACCTAGAACATCGGTAAAACATGTATCCTGAAAAGTTTATGTTCTCTTTAAATTCTTGTAAACATTCTTAATAAGAGCTAATGGCAAGATACTCATTACAATACACATACAGTGAATATTCTTTTATGCTTATTCCCATTGGTTGTATTTTGCGCTTTTCCTTTTTGTTTCTTTGTTTTCATCGTTGCTTCCAAATCAGTTATACCTTCTCCTTTTCCTCACATCAGACTTCTAACAGATCTCTATCATCCCAAACTGAAACGAACTTTTGCAAGTCTTATTTAACAGCATCAGGACATTGCATGCTCAATCATCTTTATCATCTCTGGGTTCAAGACTGCTACCACCTATAGCAAAACATCATATTGTTTCTGATATAGAAGGCGGGCAGGGAAGTGCTGGGAAGGGGAGGGAGTGGTCCCTGGCTAGGGCTCCATCCCGGGCCCGTGCCGAGGGACCTAGGTGAGGTCCCCACATAAAAAAACATTCACCCCTAGAACCTGCCATGGGGTTGAAGCCCCACAGCCTGCCTGCCTGCCTGCTCCCCCTAGAGGTTTGAGCAATGGGGCACTGAAGAAGCGAGCCACACCCCCATTGCACGCCCTGTAATGGGGGTTAGGGAACTTTTCCTATTTCAATTCCATGGCTAAGAGTATAAAAAACGTGAAATCAAGACATAAGAGCAAAAAGTTCATTCCTTAAAATACTTGGAACCAAAGTATCAACTTGTAGTTGTCAAAAGGTAGCATGAGTATTTGGAGGTAACAAAAACACCAGCTTGCTCAATTTGCACAAATAAATTTATCTGGACTTCTAGGTATGTCCATTGACTGACTTTTCAATTTTACTTCAGTCTTATCAATAGCTGTTTTTTTTTTTTCTATATAGATATTTTGTTAGGTACGGCACTTTTTAAAGAAACAGAAATCCATTAAAATTAGCTTTAAGTTACTAAGTACATTTTATTATAAAGATTGCTTTATGTCTCACAGAATCCAAAGATAATGATGAAGGCCCAGGAAGTTACTAGGAAGAAGTACTCAGATGCTGATTCTTTGTTAATCACTTAAGAGATTGAAGCCTTTTTGAGAGAGATTAACCTTTGTATGTTTATTTAAAAATTTTTACATTTCCAGGGAAAAATCTCTAATTGGTCTAGCTAGGGTCACAGGTCCATTTCTAGTCTAAATAACTGTAGCCAGGAGAATATTGTTATATGAAAGGGTATTGAGAATATGTTACGTTAAAGACATTTGAAATGGGACGTAACATTGGAGGAATGAGTGCAGCAATTGCCAAAAAATGAGACACTAGATACTGTACAAATAACCCATTGGAGATATGGTAAGTTAAGGACTGCTAAAAATTCTTTGCAACTTTTCCCATTGAGAGGTGGAGTCTAATATCTCTGCCCTTGAATATGAGCTGCTCATAGCAGCTTAACCATGGACTGAGGTGGAGATGATGTTCTAGGACACCTGAAGCTAAGTCATTAGAAGATTTGCAATTTCCTATGAGGCATCTTATGACACTAGCTCTTGTCTCTACCATCATATAATAACACATGCGGCTGCCATAATGGAAGGACCACTGGAAAGATCAAATGAAGAGGCCCTGAGACTGCATGTTTTCCCAGCTCCTAGATGTTCTAGTGCCCAGCCATTCAAATTATTCCAGCTGTGGTCCAAGAAATGGTACAGAACAGAAGTGAATCATCCTCAATGGGTCACACTTCAATTGCAAATTTGTGAGCAAAATAGATAATTCTTATTGCTTTAAGCACGAAGTTTTGGGTTGTTGATTATTAAGCATAAATATCTGCAACTGCAGGACACAATTTTACCTACTACTTGACATAGCCTCTGCTCAGTACTGAATTTTCTTTACTTTCTATTTATCTCTCAACATCTCTAGAATTAATTCATAGAAATCTTTTGTGAAATACAGTAATTTGTACAAAGAAAGGCAGAAAGCCATAAGCAAATGCAAATAGCTTTATCATTCTTCTCTGTCATTGTAGGAGTTTTTCAAACAGCTGGTTGAATCAAATATTCAATACCACATTTCAGTTTTACATAATGTATTGTGTTCATCCATCATCAGACAAAGAAAAAGGTAGTTCACTCTAAAACATGTAACCCCCTTTATAGCAATTAAACTAATCATTTCACAGCAATTTTCCCTTTATAGAAATAAAAGTTACTTTATGCCTAGCATGTGCCAAATGCTTTCCTAGCTAACATTTTCTTTATCTTGCATGTATCACATGAAAAGATATATAATTGGAGTTCGCCTTGGTAGTATAGTTTACTATCATCATGTGTGCTAGCAAAAACTTCACCTAGTAGATGATTTCTCAAGAATAAAATTTTATTCCCATCCATATGAAGACAAAGTGAATAAATCACTGAGTCGAAAAATATATCTTAATTAAAATATATTAAGCCTGTTCAATATCTGTTCTCTGACTTCATTGCATAATGTCTCTGTTTCATTATACTATCCAGTCTTCTTTTTAGCAATTATGTCAATTTTTATTCAGAGTAAATAAATAGGTCCAAATTTATTATAGCAAGTGTATAGTTCTTACCATTTATATATTGAACCTCCCCTAATTATCTTTCTTTAACTTTTTCTAAATTCATATCATTATTTTTTAATCTTAGATACAGTTTTACATCCTTTAATGAGCTGCGATGTGTATAAAGATGTGAATACATAACAAAATGTATTAGTATTTCTCATGCTGAGTCACAAAAGACAATTTGATACATACAATTGAAATTTTGCCATAGCTGTATGGTAAAATTTATCCTTCCTAGGGAGTTAAGTTTTCTGCTATTTCATTAGCTGGTTTGGTAAACCTGAAAAAAAAATACTTTTACAGTGAGGAATTCTAAAATGCACTCTACTTTGAAAACCTCTCTTAGAGATTAAATCCTAAGATTTACTAAGGGCATTTTACTGAGGGCAAGGAATTTTCTAACAGACATTATGTTCTTAAATAGTGTAGTTGAGGAATTTTTGTTTTGTAGAAATAAAGTAGAGATTATTAGCCTCCCTTTCCCTGAAGGCTCTAGTTTGTTGAGTACTATGTGAAAAAGAGACAGTGTCTTGGGTTGGAGGATTTAAGATAAGTGAAGTCTACATTCTTTTGACAGTATTTAGGATTTTTCTATGCACTGTAATATGTAATATAGGTAATGAGTGATTCACACTTAAAACGCAAAAATTTGTCACTCAAAGCAGTTGCAAAAAATAATTCATCATAGCATTTCCAATTGTGGCCAGGAAACACGTGGTCATAAGTACAGAAACATCTATACAAAACATTTGGAAACAAATTACATCTAAATTACCACACATCGAGAAAGGAAATAACACATTAAAAATGAAAGCAATCAATCATAAATTTAAATATCAGTATGGGCATTCTTTGGCTGATCCATTAAATTTTCCCCAGATTTACCCAAAAGTTCTTTTTCTGCTGAAGTAAATTTTTTCCCAGGTAATAGAAATTATATACAAAACCTTATGCTTAGCATATTCGTAGGAATACAGTTCAGGTACTCTTAAGACTTACACCTGTTGTGCTGGAGAGGATGTGGAGAAATAGGAACACTTTTACACTGTTGGTGGGACTGTAAACTAGTTCAACCATAGTGGAAGTCGGTGTGGCGATTCCTCAGGGATCTAGAACTAGAAATACCATTTGACCCAGCCATCCCATTACTGGGTATATACCCAAAGGATTATAAATCATGCTGCTATAAAGACACATGCACATGTATGTTTATTGCGGCACTATTCACAATAGCAAAGACTTGGAACCAACCCAAATGTCCAACAATGATAGACTGGATTAAGAAAAGGTGGCACATATACACCATGGAATACTATGCAGCCATAAAAAAGGATGAGTTCATGTCCTTTGTAGGGACAGGGATGAAACTGGAAACCATCATTCTTAGCAAACTATCGCAAGGACAAAAAACCAAACACCACATGTTCTCACTCATAGGTGGGAATTGAACAATGAGAACACATGGACACAGGAAGGGGAACATCACACTCCGGGGACTCTTGTGGGGTGGGGGAAGGGGGGAGGGATAGCATTAGGAGATATACCTAATGCTAAATGACGAGTTGATGGGTGCTGCACACCAACATGGCACATGTATACATATGTAACAAACCTGCACATTGTGCACATGTACCCTAAAACTTAAATTATAATAAAATTTAAAAAAAAAAGACTTACACCTATCTCAAGAATCTTAGTTGCTTCTAATCATTCCACAGAATTATTTCCTACTCTTTCTCTGCCAGAAACTTCAGAAAATGTTATGGATTTAATTGGCAACTAAATATTTTAATGTGGTCAGAAAATGTAGTTAAAACTTATTTTTCATATTTTCTTCAGCACCTGAGTTTTGATTGGATCGAACTCTGGCTGGACAGCACAAACCTCAGCAATCTCTCTCAAGTTCAAAGGCAAGAGTACACCAGCCTATGCAGTGACGTTAGAACTTTCGCTACTCACCCCTTTACTTCATTCTTTCAAGGAGAACCACTTTTCCCTTAAGGTGGAAAT
This sequence comes from Homo sapiens, assembly GCF_000001405.40. NCBI lineage: Eukaryota > Metazoa > Chordata > Mammalia > Primates > Hominidae > Homo > Homo sapiens. Next base: position 103,868,905 of record NC_000009.12, on the reverse strand, counting down.
CCACTGCAAAACTATTCTGAGACCAAATGCCTTGAAAAACAACTATGGTTCCCCAATTTCCCTTGCTCCAATGTGGTTAATTTCATTTTTATTTCCTGGAGTCAGAAGAATTTAGTTCGTTCTGGAAACTTCTCTCACAGGCATTGCTAAAATGTCTGATTGAGCCAGGCCATTTCCTGATCCTTTTTTTTTTTTTTTTTTTAGAGTGCTTATTTCTCCTCACTTTATTATCCAATTTCAATCTGATTCCCGTAACTCCCTTTAGACCAATTTGGTTTAGATGTAAGATTCAAAATGTCCCATAATCATCCTCAACATTTACAGAAGAAAACATCCAAGAACAAACCCAATGTAAATACAGGATTTTACTGGCTACATTTTCCCAGAGTGCCAAGATGGTACTTCTCCATGGGACTTTGCTGGAGAAGGCAGAGTTACATTCTGGCAGATACTTGGTGGTATCACAATGTAGTTTTAATTAGCTTTTCCATGATGGTTAATGATATTAAATATCTTTTTATACATGATTATTGATCTTTGGGGCTTATAGTGAAGTGAGTTTAAGTGATTTTTTTATTTTAACATGATTAGTTTATATTTTTCTTATTAATTTATAACTATTACAAATACTGCCTATAAGCCTTTGGTTGATTATATGTGTTTCAAATACCTTCTCCCATGTTATGATATGGCTTTCCTTCTCACATCCTCAATGCTGTCTTTTAATTAACAGAAATTCCTTATGTTTTGATGACTAATAGAATAATCATTTCATTTATGGTTTGTGTTATTGGGTAATGTTTAAAAAATCTTTCTCTAACACAGAGATAACAAGATAGTCCCGTATTTTATTTTTACAAGTTTTGTTTATTTACCTTTCACAGCATAGTAAGTCCTCCATCTTTGTTCTTAGTCACTGTTTTAGTAATTATTGGCTTTATATACAACCACATATATTTTAGAATTAAATTATCAATTTAGATTTAAAAAACTGATGAGACATTGATGATGACTGCATTAAATTTGTAGATTGTTTGGTGAGAGTTGCCATCTTTATAACATTTAGTATTTAAATTTTAGAACACTATAAATACTCTCATTTATTCTATTATTATATCTTTAATTTTTCTCAGTAGCTTTTTATATTTTCTGTGAAGACTTGAGGACATTGCATTATTTATTAGATTTATTCCTGGCTATCTGAAGTGCTGCTATACATGGTATTTTTAAAAAGTGCGATTTTAATCATTTGTTTTTCTTTTATAAAAATACAATTGATTTTTGTATATTGTAATCAGCAATCTTATTAAGTTCACTTATCAATTCTAATAGTTTTTATAGATTGTTTTATATCTACATAAAACCAGGAAACCTACAATGACCCTTTAATCTCTTTTGTTCCAATCTTTATTCAATTGATTTATTTTCCTTGCCTTATTTTATTGGTAGGACTGCTGGTACAGTGTTAAACAAAGTGAACTTAGTAGGTATGTCTAACTTATCCCCAGTCTCAGATAAAATGCTTGCTCATATTTCACTGGGAAGCATCGATCATGTTGCAGATTTTTAAAAATAAGCTATGTGTTAAATTATAGGATATTTCTTCTATTCCTAGTATGGTGAGAAATGTTAATAAATTTTACCAAATATATTTTCTAGCAATTGTATCACGATTTTTTTTACTGTTAATGTGATAAATTATGTTTAGCATTTCAAAAGTATTCAATAAATGTACCCCGATGTAAATTCAAGCTTGTTCATGATATATTATACGCTCTACACACAGCTGAATTCAATTTATTTCTAGTGTTGACAACGATTGGCTGGGAATTTTCTTGGTTTTTAAAAAAATTTTATGAGATTCTTTCTTCATAAAACAATTTAAAACATGTTTTCTTGTATTTTTTCTCTATAAAATGTTGTCTAAAATTGATTTTCTTTCTTTTTTAAATATTTGGCAGAATTCATTGTTGAAATCTTGCCCTGGAGATTTTAAATTATGGCATCATTTTCTTCCATAAATGTAGGTAATTTCACATTTTCTAATTTTTCTTACTTCAGTTTTAATTAGTCTTTTTACAGATAAATTTTATTCATTTTGTTTATATTTTGAAATTTAACCTCTACTTTTTAATAATATGCCCTTATTATTTTTTTATATATTTTAGATCCTATTGTTTATCTGTTATTGGTTATTTATTCCTTCTTCCTATTTTCTCAATTAGTTTCAATAGAGGTTTATCATTTCTATTAGTACTTTCCATGAAACAAATTTTGGGTTGCTTTATCCCCTTTTTAATTTTTGCTTTCAATGATTTTTGCTCTGATGTTTACGATTTTTATTTTCTACTTATATTATTCTTTTTGTAACTGCTACTGATACTTAGATTATTATCTAAATGATTTTAAGGCTTCACTGTTTTGTAATATATGAACTGAAAACTATAAAATCTTCATTTAAGCACAACTTTAGCTACATCCTAGAAGATTCATTTGTAGCATTTTTATTTTCATGTATTTCAAAATAATTTAAAATTTTCATTGTAGTCTCTTGTTTAATGTGTGTTAATTATGTATGTATTTCTTAACCTATTGTTAATATTTTCCCTATTGTAGCTTGGTAGTCATACACTTTTTAACTGTACATTTTTAGGATACTACTCTATAGATAACAAAATGCAGCTTTGATTTTTCAAAGTTTAACATCTATTAATACCTCTTCTGAACAGGGCAAGAACCTCAGAACATTTTAACTTTGTTTCTCTTCAGACATCTGTGCTATTGTTATATTTCATTATATATTGTCAAATATTTTAGTCATACACATATATGTATTTCAACACAAGAATGTTCTGTCACTTTTAATTATATATTTATTAATATATACCATGTATTTACCTTTATTGCTGCTTTATGTTCTTTTTTGTATCTCCAAACTTTCCTCTAGAACCATTGATCTTCTGACTTTAAAATATATCTTTTATGTTTCTTTATAGCAAGTCTGTTGGTGACAAATAAATCTCAGTTTCTGTTTGCCTGAAAAAATATCTTATTTTGATTTTGCTTTAAAGGGATGTGTTAGTACATTGGAAGCTATTTTTTTCCAACACATTAAAGATGTCATTCTAATTTCTCACTTCCATTGTCACTCTGGCTGCTTTTAACATTTCTCTTTTACTTCACAGTGCTCCTTGAAAATTGTAGCTTCATACAGTTAATCAGTTTTGGAAAGTGCTTGGTTATTATATTTTTATATTTTGATTCTCATTTTTTTCTCTCTCCATTTTTGGACCTCAAAATCCACAGTTTCACAAGAGCAGTCTGTTTCTAACATGTATCCCTTTGATATTTAAATTCTGAATTCCAATATTTGTCAACTTACCTGTTAGAACTCTGTTTAGGATCTCACACTTTCGGTGGTCTCCAGAAGACTTTCTGCAGCAGACAGTAGCCTATACCTGAATAGACAGGTACATCTAGGGCAAAAACCGTCCCAAGGATAGGATCACGTGTGTTAGTTTCCCTTTTGCTTCCCTTGGATCTTGGTCTCTGAACTCGACAGTGGTTTGTCAGCTTTCCTATACTTTCCTATAGGTGTTGTTTCATATTTTTCCCAGTTTTCTTGTTATTATCAAAGGGAAGGTTGGAACAAATTATTTATTTGCCATTATGGAAAACAGAGCTTTCTCTTTTTAATTGACACGTAAATGATACTAATCTTGAATGATAATAAGGATAATTTAAAACAAATATTTATATCTGTGTAACCACTCCCTAGAGCATATATAGAATAGTTTCAACAATTCATTTGATATCATTGTGTTTCTCCCAAGACTATACCCTTGTTCTTTGCTTTTCTAATCACTGATTAATTTTGTTGATTTTTGAAGTTAATACAAATAGAATCATGCTGAAGGTGCACTCGTGTACCTTCATGGAACACAGTATCTATAAGATTTTTTTCAAAGAATAGATTATCTATAAAATTTACTCATGTTTTCATGTGTAGTAGTAACTTCTTCTCTTTTTATTTCTGTGTAGTATTTCACTGTATGAATACATCACACTTTATGCATTCTCCACTTGATGGGCATCCAGCCCTGCCTGCTTTGAATAAAGCTTCTATGAACATCCTCATACATGTTTCTCGGTGGCCAGATACACTTATTTCTTTTATGTATATACCAACAGTGAAATTACTGCCTCATAGGAAAAGCAAATGTTCTAATTATAGCAACCATTGCCAGCTTTTCAAAATGTTCTGTCATTTTACATTTCCACCAGCAATGTATATGATTTATTTCTCTCATATATTCTATAAGTTATCTTTTAAAAAAAAGTTTTTTTTATTATTATACTTTAAGTTTTAGGGTACATGTGCACAATGTGCAGGTTTGTTACATATGTATACATGTACCATGTTGGTGTGCTGCACCCATTAACTCGTCATTTAACATTAGGTATATCTCCTAATGCTATCCCTCCCCCCTCTCCCCACCCCACAACAGGCCCTGGTGTGTGATGTTCCCCTTTCTGTGTCCATGTGTTCTCATTGTTCAATTCCCACCTATGAGTGAGAACATGTGGTGTTTGGTTTTTTGTCCTTGTGATAGTTTGCTGAGAATGATGGTTTCCAGCTTCATCCTACAAAGGACATGTCCCTGCCTGCAAAGGACATGAACTCATCATTTTTTTATGGCTGCATAGTATTCCATGGTGTATATGTGCCACATTTTCTTAATCCAGTCTATCGTTGTTGGACATTTGGGTTGGTTCCAAGTCTTTGCTATTGTGAATAGTGTCGCCATAAACATATGTGTGCATGTGTCTTTATAGCAGCATGTTTTATAATCCTCTGGGTATATATCCAGAAATGGGATGGCTGGGTCAAATGGTATTTCTAGTTCTAGATCCCTGAGGAATTGCCACACAGACTTCCACAATGGTTGAACTAGTTTACAGTCCCACCAACAGTGTAAAAGCGTTTCTATTTCTCCACATCCTCTCCAGCACCTGTTGTTTCCTGACTTTTTAATGATTGCCATTCTAACTGGTGTGAGATGGTATCTCATTGTGGTTTTGATTTGCATTTCTCTGATGGCCAGTGATGGTGAGCATTTTTTCATGTGTCTGTTGGCTGCATAAATGTCTTCTTTTGAGAAGTGTCTGTTCATATCCTTTGCCCACTTTTCGATGGGGGTGTTTTTTTCTTGTAAATTTGTTGGAGTTCATTGTAGATTCTGGATATCAGCCCTTTGTCAGATGAGTAGATTGCAAAAATTTTCTCCTATTCTGTAGGCTGCCTGTTCACTCTGATGGTAGTTTCTTTTGCTGTGCAGAAGCTCTTTAGTTTAATTAGATCCCATTTGTCAATTTTGGCTTTTGTTGCCATTGCTTTTGGTGTTTTAGATATGAAGTCCTTGCCCATGCCTATGTCCTGAATGGTATTGCCTAGGTTTTCTTTTAGGGTTTTTATGGTTTTAGGTCCAACATTTAAGTCTTTAATTCATCTTGAATTAATTTTTGTATAAGGTGTAAGGAAGGGATCCAGTTTCAGCTTTCTACATATGGCTAGCCAGTTCTCCCAGCACCATTTATTAAATAGGGAATCCTTTCCCCATTTCTTGTTTTTGTCAGGTTTGTCAAAGATCAGATAGTTGTAGATATGTGGGATTATTTCTGAGGGCTCTGTTCTGTTCCATTGATCTATATCTCTGTTTTGGTACCAGTACCATGCTGTTTTGGTTACTGTAGCCTTGTAGTATTCTTTGAAGTCAGGTAGCGTGTTGCCTCCAGCTTTGTTCTTTTGGCTTAGGATTGATTTGGCAATTTGTGGGCTCTTTTTTGGTTCCATATGAACTTTAAAGTAGTTTTTTTCCAAATCTGTGAAGAAAGTCATTGGTAGCTTGATGGGGATGGCATTGAATCTATAAATTACCTTGGGCAGTATGGCCATCTTCACGATATCGATTCTTCCTATCCATGAGCATGCAATGTTCTTCCATTGGTTTGTATCCTCTTTTATTTCATTGAGCAGTGGTTTGTAGTTCTCCTTGAAGAGGTCCTTCACGTCCCTTGTAAGTTGGATTCCTAGGTCTTTTATTCTCTTTGAAACAATTGTGAATGGGAGTTCACTCATGATTTGGCTCTCTGTTATTAGTGTATAAGAATGCTTGTGATTTTTGCACATTGATTTTATATCCTGAGACTTTGCTGAAGTTGCCTATTAGCTTAAGGAGATTTTGGGCTGAGATGATGGGGTTTTCTAGACATACAATCATGTCTTCTGCAAACAGGGAAAATTTGACCTCCTCTTTTCCTAATTGAAGACCCTTTATTTCCTTCTCCTGCCTGATTGCCCTGGCCAGAACTTCCAACACTATGTTGAAGAGGAGTGGTGAGAGAGGGCATCCCTGTCTTGTGCCAGTTTTCAAAGGGAATGCTTCCAGTTTTTGCCCATTCAGTATGATATTGGCTGTGGGTTTGTCATAGATAGCTCTTATTATTTTGAGATGCGACCCCTCAATACCTAATTTATTGAGAGTTTTTAGCATGAAGGGCTGTTGAATTTTGTCAAAGGCCTTTTCTGCATCTATTGAGATAATCATGTGGTTTTTGTCATTGATTCAGTTTATATGCTGGATTACATTTATTGATTTGCGTATGTTGAAGCAGCCTTGCATCCCAGGGATAAAGCCCGCTTGATCATGGTGGATAAGCTTTTTGATGTGCTGCTGGATTCGGTTTGCCAGTATTTCATTGAGGATTTTTGCATCAATGTTTATCAGCGATATTGGTCTAAAATTCTGTTTTTTTGTTGTGTCTCTGCCTAGCTTTGGTATCAGGATGATGCTGGCCTCATAAAATGAGTTAGGAAGGATTCCCTCTTTTTCTATTGATTGGAATAGTTTCAGAAGGAATGGTACCAGCTCCTCCTTGTACCTCTGGTGGAATTCGGCTGTGAATCCACTTGGTCCTGGACTTTTTTTGTTTGGTAAGCTATTAATTCTTGCCTCAATTTCAGAGCCTGTTATTGGTCTATTCAGAGATTCAGCTTCTTCCTGGTTTAGTCTTGGGAGGGTGTATTTGTCAAGGAATTTATCCATTTCTTCTAGATTTTCTAGTTTATTTGCATAGAGGTGTTTATAGTATTCTCTGATGGTAATTTGTATTTCTGTGGGACTGGTGGTGATATCCCCTTTATCATTTTTTATTGCATCTATTTGATTCTTCTCTCTTTTCTTCTTTATTAGTCTTGCTAGCGGTCTATCAATTTTGTTGATCTTTTCCGAAAACCAGCTCCTGGATTCATTGATTTTTTGAAGGGTTTTTTGTGTCTCTATTTCCTTCAGTTCTGCTCTGATCTTAGTTATTTCTTGCCTTCTGTTAGCTTTTGAATGTGTTTGCTCGTGCTTTTCTAGTTCTTTTAATTGTGATGTTAGGGTGTCAATTTTGGATGTTTCCTGCTTTCTCTTGTGGGCATTTAGTGCTATAAATTTCCCTCTACACACTCCTTTGAATGTGTCCCAGAGACTCTGGTATGTTGTGTCTTTGTTCTCATTGGTTTCAAAGAACATCTTTATTTCTGCCTTCATTTTGTTAGTACCCAGCAGTCATTCAGGAGCAGGTTGTTCAGTTTCCATGTAGTTGAGTGGTTTTGAGCGAGTTTCTTAATCCTGAGTTCTAGTTTGATTGCACTGTGGTCTGAGAGATAGTTTGTTATAATTTCTGTTCTTTTACATTTGCTGAGGAGTGCTTTCCTTCCAACCATGTGGTCAATTTTGGAAGAGGTGTGGTGTGGTGCTGAGAAGAATGTATATTCTGTTGATTTGGGGTGGAGAGTTCTGTAGATGTCTATTAGGTCCACTTGGTGCAGAGCTGAGTTCAGTTCCTGGATATCCTTGTTAACTTTCTGTCTCGTTGATCTGTCTAATGCTGACAGTGGGGTGTTAAAGTCTCCCATTATTATCGTGTGGGAGTCTAAGTCTCTTTGTTGGTCTCTAAGGACTTGCTTTATGAATCTGGGTGCTCCTGTATTGGGTGCATATATATTTAGGATAGTTATCTCTTCTTGTTGAATTGATCCCTTTACCATTATGTAATGGCCTTCTTTGTCTCTTTTGTTCTTTGTTGGTTTAAAGTCTGTTTTATCAGAGACTAGGATTGCAACCCCTGCCTTTTTTTGTTTTCCATTTGCTTGGTAGATCTTTCTCCATCCCTTCATTTTGAGCCTATGTGTGTCTCTGCACGTGAGATGGGTTTCCTGAATACAGCACACTGTTGGGTCTTAACTCTTTATCCAATTTGCCAGTCTGTGTCTTTTAATTGGAGCATTTAGCTCATTTACATTTAAGGTTAATATTGTTATGTCTGAATTTAATCCTGTCATTATGATGTTAGCTGGTTATTTTGCTCATTAGTTGATGCAGTTTCTTCCTAGCCTCGATGGTCTTTACAATTTGGCATGTTTTTGCAGTGGCTGGTACTGGTTGTTCCTTTCCATGTTTAGTGCTTCCTTCAGGAGCTCTTGTAGGGCAGGTCTGGTGGTGACAAAATATCTCAGTATTTGCTTGTCTGTAAAGTATTTTATTTCTCCTTCACTTATGAAGCTTAGTTTGGCTGGATATGAAATTCTGGGTTGAAAATTCTTTTCTTTAAGAATGTTGAATATTGGCCCCCACTCTCTTCTGGCTTGTAGAGTTTTTGCTGAGAGATCAGCTGTTAGTCTGACAGGCTTCCCTCTGTGGGTAATCCGACCTTTCTCTCTGGCTGCCCTTAACATTTTTTCCTTCATTTCAACTTTGGTGAATCTGACAATTATGTGTCTTGGAGTAGAAAAGAATAAAAAGAAATGAACAGAGCCTCCAAGAAATATGGGAGTATGTGAAAAGACTAAATCTACGTCTGATTGGTGTACCTGAAAGTGATGACGACAATGGAACCAAGTTGGAAAACACTCTGCAGGATATTATCCAGGAGAACTTCCCCAATCTAGCAAGGCAGGCCAACATTCAAATTCAGGAAATACAGAGAATGCCACAAAGATATTCCTCGAGAAAATTTGTTTTTTTTTTAAATCTCTTCCTCATTTCCTTTGATTGTGTACCTTGCTTGTGTTCCAACAAAGCTGGGAGTATGGAATTTTAATAGTGTTTTTGCTGCTGAGTTCAGTTCCCTTCCCCTAACCTAACTTCAAGTCTTTTAGTTCATGTTTCTGAAAGCAAGGATTTGCTTGGTTTAGTTTAACTTTTCTTACACCTTGCCCATAGGTCTTTGTAATTTGTCAAGTGAATTGGTTTACTCATTTCCCTCTAGCAAATGAGCTAGAGTTAAGGGGGAAACTACTGTTTATAGTCACAGCTACTTTGAGGAGTAGACAGAATGGTTGGTACTATTTTATATACCTTTTACCCGTAACCAGATCCATTCTTCAAGACAGGTCAGAATACAGTATCTTAGCATAATTTTCTATAGTCAATTTACCTCTATTTTCTCTTCTCTTTTTCACCTATCTCTGACCATTACTAATAAATTTTTGTCTGTAATTGTATAAAAATCACTCTATATGTAATTTTATTGTTTAAAAATTTAAAAAATCATGTAAGGTATCCATTTTATAACTGAATAAATATCAGAGAAGCTAAGGGATTTGTTCAAATGTGCTCAATTATTAATATATAGTGCTGAAATTTAAAGAAAAGCCTTTATCTTCTCTAGTTTGTATTCTGCATTCTTTCATCTACAGTACTATCTCCCTGCATCTAATCAAATCTTTGTGTTATCCAAATGTTGACATTAACTTACTTTAGCCATATGTAGAACACTGTTGATACTCCTGAGGAATTTTAAATTTTCCAGTGATAAAGAGAATAGAGTATTTGTGTGTACTGTGGGTTTTTATATCAGATACTTAATGAAGGTCTTTCTACATTTGTGTAGTTCTTCTATTACTTTTCTAACATTTTCTGCAAATCCTTAAGAAATGCTGATTCCTATCTTTTTGGTGAAGCACATATTTTGTGGAGTTACAAAGAAGATAAAAAATACCACCTCCGTGAATCATTGATTTTTACTTTGGCCTATTCATTCTAAATACATTCACCAGGTACAATGTCAGTATATATATTTCAAAATTTAATAGTTTTCTGAAGTCTGGTGTGTACACACATTCTATTAAAATCTTGTAGACTATTTACTCTCTACTATCATTCATATGGGCTTTTACTTGCCAAATGTTAATGTGACATCTGCTGTACCTAATTCCAGTAAATATCAGGAACTCTTATGCATACAAACAGTTTATCATACATATGCCATCAATTTGTTCTGAGACATGTCACTTGTGCAAATAGCCTAGCGTTCTTATTTATTAAGATTTACATCAAGTAAAAACTAAACACTTTGATTCAAAGGTCTTGGATTTTCAATCCAGATGTTTATAATCTCTCATGCTATTTACTGACCTCAACAATTTAAAGTTGTGAATTAATTAGCTTGCATTCATAAATTCATGGAAAAGAGATGGAATTACTATCCTTTGATAATATATGATATTAGAATTTCATAAAGTAAGGAAGCAATATCAGTTCAATGTGGAAGAAGCAAAATATAATCAAAAAGTAAGTGTTAAAAAATGATAATGGATACATAAGACCAAGTGACCAAGATTTATTAGCCAAGATAGCAAGAAAGTATTTTTACTTTATAAGATGAATAAAGACCCAGTTCATTTCAACCCTCCTGTACCTGGTTTCCATAAAATAATTCTTACTGAAAATACTGTCTTACTGATAGTATATATATATATAATTAAATATCATACTATATATATTTCTTCACACACACACACAGACACAAATTGAGTATAACAAAAGAATGACTAGAAACGTACAGTAGTCTGTCTCCTTCCTATGACTCCACTTCAATAACAACAAAAGGATAGGAATCATATAAATCCAAAATGGCAAAGATGAAGAATGGAAATCTGCTGCAGATATCCATCATTCAGGGCTCACCAACATATCGAACATCTTCCTGAAAGTATGATTGTTCTCCACATTTAGAAATCTGTCTTCTCAAGGTAAAAGCAGAAATCTTACATCTCTAGAATCACTTGCCATTGCATTCCTCTCATTAGAAGCTATGAGAAATTGTGTCTTTTTTCTCTTATTTTCCTTCTCTCTCTTTCTCTCTCATAGCTCCATCTCTTCAACTTATTCTTTTATATTTTCTGAGACATTTTCTCATTTCTATTTTCCAACCAGTAGGGTAGCTTGGTAGAAGAAAGTTGTGTGTGTATTGTTTTTCCTGAGCCATTTCAGACCAAGTTAGAAATATCATACTCTATGACCTTTACATACTTGATTATACATGTCTTAAGAACAAGGACCTCTCCTTTATAACCACAGCACAGTTAGCATTTTCAATATCAGGAGATTTTCTAATATTTAATATTGATATAGTACTATTATTTAATCTGCAGTTCTTAGTCAAATTTCATCAATTACCCCCAGAATAACATTATAGCTATTTTGGGCGGGGGAGGATATAGTCCAGGATTTAATTGAAGATCACTCATTGCATTTTTTTTTGTTATGTCTTTTTAGTCTTGTTTCAACTAGTAAATATAGCCTCACATTCTTCTGTGTATGTATCTAGACCTTTACATTTTTGACTAGTACAGGCCAGTTACTACATAGAATGTCCCTCAGTTTGGGTTTGTCTAATACTTTCTCATGCACAGTTTTAGCTTACATACTTATCAGGAAACACGTGCTGTGAGTTAGCTCCATTACGAGCTATATGGGCATAGAAAGTTCGGTGTAGAAAGTTGTTTACATGAGCTTCACAAATTTTTGAAAATGTTAGTGTTTGATAGACAATTCTTAAGAACAAACTCTACAATTTTCTCTGTGAAACAGAAGTCAGTGACTTTGGGTAGAAATCATAATGAATATACATGACTGAGAGAAGGAGCATTTATAAAAAAGAAATTCAACTGTGAATGTCTTTGCTTTATTAAGGAAAGAAAAATATTATCCACTATTGGGCCATGAGCTTTAGTTTGACACACACTTCCCTAAAAGATCTTACCTTTCTCTGCCATGCAAAGTTTTATATTTTCTCTCCTTTTTTTTTTTAAACAATAAAAACATGGGGAGAGTACATCAGCACAGCAACTAGTCAGTGACATCACATCTCACCTGTGATGTGCCTTTTATTTTCCCTTACTAAAGAGTGATATAAACGACCACGTGACAAACCATAAGAAAGGGCTTTTAAAATTTGAATCTAATCAGGAACAGCATGTCCAAGCTATTGTTTACTATCACTTTTCCTCTGAGGGATTCAGAGTAAAAGGAAAGTTATATGTGAAACAATTTGGACACTGTGCACTTTTGCCTTGCAAATGAATCCATTAAAACATAAGGAGCACCTGCTGAACTGTGCGCATTGCTATTCAATGCTGACTCAATATTTTCAGGAATAGCATGGAAAACTCATATTTTAAGGTATTTTAATAATATCTACTGATAATTTGTCCTAACAGCTGTTTTATTTTTGCTGACACAGTAGAGAAAACAGTACCTTATTCTTGGAAACTTTAATGATGGAGAATTGCACAGTTCTGGGTGTTCCTAAACTTAGTGCATTTCTCAGAGCAAGCCAAGACCAGCATGAAATACTTTCTTTCCTACAACACATCCCAGTGCCTAAGTCTATCTTCCTTTCTTCTTTACTTATATTACCACCCACTGTTTTCTATAATAGCCCCAAAACTGGCTGCCAGATTTTTCATAAAAATGTTTACTGAAAAGACAGACTGGACACACAAATGAAAAATATAAACATGGCCACATAATAGCTTAAAACATTTTACTAGTTCTTGTAGTTATTATTCTAGGTTTCTTAATTGGAACAGGAAGGTTTCAAATAGCCTTCTCATCTTCCTCTCTATTTTGAAGGGGAGAATACACCCAACCTCCTCCTCCCTTACATCCTGGCTCTTTTCTGGATTGCTTGCTCTGTGTTTTATTTTTTTATCCTGAAATATCAACTGTAATGGGTTAATAGAATGGTATTAGTCCATTTTCACACTGCTAATAAAGACATACATGAGACTGGGTAATTTATACAGAAAAAGAGGTTCAGTGGACTCACAGTTCCACATGGCTGGACAGGCTTCACAATCATGGCAGAAGGTGAAGAAGGAGCAAAAGCATGTCTTACATGGCGGCAGGCAAGGAGAGCATGTGCAGGGAAACTGCCATTTATAAAACCATCAGATCTCACGGGATTTATTCACTATCACGAGAAAGGTATGGGAAAACCCACCCCCATGATTCAATTACCTCCCACTGGGACCTTCCCACAACACATGGGGATTATTACAATTCCAGGTGAGATTTGGGTGGACACATGGAGCCAAACCATATCAAGATTTCAATTTGTATCCATTCAGTTGCTAAATTACATGCAGTAAGTAGATTGTACTCCCAGAGTCCAACATATTTCTCACATGACTGGGACCTATATATATATATTTCCTACATCCTCAGGAAATGTCTTATTTCTACCTTTGCACAGGATCATATTTTTTTTCTATTTTTGTCCTTTTTGTAACCACAAAGGTGAAACTAGTGGTTTCCTCAAATAACTTTTCTTTAAATAATAAACTCAATAAAGAAGGAATATTTCTATTTGAGTAGAGGAGAAGAGTTTTGGAGCCCAGCCATTTCATTCCTGATAGGTATCCTGAGGGAATTCCTAAGACTCCACAGCTGACATTAACCCCACAAAAACTACATGTGAGCACACACATGTCTAAACAAACAGATCCCATTGCTCATGCTTGATATTGAGAATATTTTGAAAAAGAAGAAGCAAAAATGACACATTAATTTCTGGTTAAATGTGGTGGTTTGAAATATTAATCACTACTAAATTAAAAGCATATGACTATGAATCATATTGATTTCACAAGGGACAAAGAGAATAGGAGAGAGAACAACTGCAAACGAAGTATTTCTGCTAATTTTTGGAAGACAAAAGCAGATGGAGAAGTGATAACTGAACCCAGAAATCTTAAAAAATAAGACAGAAAGAAAATAAAACTACACCCTTACAGCCTAAGGAAGGGTTTACCTAGGGTGGTAGTGAAAATATTTAACCTTTGTAGTGCAGTTGCTCGGGAGGCTGAAGTGAGAGAACTACTTGAGCCCACGAGTTTGAAGCTGCAGTGAGCCATGAACATGCCATTGTACTCAAGCCTGGGCAACAGAGCAAGATCCCATCTTTAAAGGAAAAAAATTCTGCATAGCATAGGCCCTGACTAATAAATTTATGTTGAATCTGGACTAGGTGAGGAGGTACCAGCCCTGAGAAAACCAATGGAAATGAACATTTCCTGTAAGCTCTGTTCATGACAGCACCCACTCTCTTTGAGAGAGGTGTGGGTCATAACATTGGGAGACTAGTTGAAAGTTTGTCTAGAACGTAGTTACCTATATAGCAGTTACTACAATACTTGTATGACATTTACTATGTCCTAGGCATGACTCTTTGTACTTTACAAATATTTTTTATTGTATAATAAACCTAAGAGTAGAGTGTTAACATTATCCCTCTACAGATATGGATAGTGAAACACAAAGAAGTGAACTTGCTTAAGGCTAACTGTATAGGAAGTGATGGTGCTATGATTCCAAGTTAGGCAGTCTATCTCCATTCTGTCAATGACTATGCTATGTTGCCTCCTCCTTTTTCCTTAGGAGAATTATGGTGATTACATTTCAAGATGAGATTTGGGTGAGGACATGAAGCCTAACCATATCACTGTAGAATTCAGTTCTTCTTTTATGGATGCAACATCATTTTGGGGATATTACTGATGGTTTTATTTGACTTTAGGATAATTTGAATGAAGGGGCTATACCTAAGGGAACTTCTGCATGGCAAGCATAAAGCAGATTTGATGGAGATTTGATGGAGAGAGCTGAAAACAATGGGATTCAATTAATTTATTCACTCTGAATTGTGTGGCCCTTAGTCCCCTCTGCTCTCAGGATGACAGCAAGGAAGTATTATCTCTTCCCCACCTTCTGAACACACATATTGATAGGTGATTGGAGGATGGGTGCCTGAAGGAAGAAAACATCTTAAGAGGAAAAATCTTTATGTGCTGATTTGAGGGTCTCACAGAGAAATGATGAACTTAATATCTTATCATCCTAGAGCCCAGTAAGAAGTCTTGCCTATCAACATTTGTTGTCACATCCTGAAATATAAAATGCCAGAAAGTGTTCACTAAGAATTTGAGGCATAGTTTCAAAATAAAAACAAATACTACCAAAACTATGAATAAAAATTGTTATAATAAGAATTACTGAGTAGGATAAAGTCAAATAAAACCATCAATAATATCCCCAAAGTAATGTTGCATCCGTCAAACAAGAACTGAATTCTACAGTGATATGGTTAGGCTTCGTGTCCTCACCCAAATCTCATCTTGAATTGTAATCCCCATAATTCTTATGTGTCAAGGAGGAGACCAGGTGGAGGTAATTTAATCATGGGAGTGATTTCCCCCATGCTGTTCTGGTGATAGTTCTCAGGGGATCTGATGGTTTTATAAGGGGCCCTTCCCCCTTTGCTCGTCACTTGTCTTTCCTGCCACCTTGTGAAGAAGGTGCCTTACTTCCCCTTTGCTTTCCACTATGATTGTACGTTTCCTGAAGCCTCTGCAGCCATGCAGAAGTGTGAGTCAATTAAACCTCTTTCCTTTGTAAATTACCCAGTCTTGGGCAGTTCTTACAGCAGTATGAAAACGAACTAATACATAAGGCAAAGTTATTTTAGGAAAACAAAAAGAAATGCTAAACACTATTAAAAATAGATAAGAAATTTTAAGATTTCAGTAAATGAGATGAAATGAAAATTGAGCTGAGGTCTCAGAAAGTGGAACAAAAAGGGATCAAAAAGATGATGAATATATGAAAACAACTTTCTAGAACTATTACTATTTCTATTTTTTTGTTTATAGTTGCCCTTGAATTTTCTTTGTGGACTAACACATACATAGAATAATTTCAGTGCAATTTTGTGCTTTCTAAATCTTCTTCCCATTTTTGTTTTCTGTTCTACAGTTTAGGCTAGAATTTCCAGTACATTGTTGAAGAGTAACAATAATAAGATGATTCCTTATCATCGTTCTGATTTTAATAGTAATGTTTTCAATGTTTCACTACTGTTTTTGCTAACATATATGACATATTACTATTTGATTAAAATTAAGGAAGGCATGTTAAATTTTTACTTTTCAGAGAATTTTATTATGAAAAACAGCTACCTTCTATAAAATGCTGGGGATTTCCCTTTTAAAATATATCGAGGGCCAGGTGCGGTGGCTCATGCCTGTAATCCCAGCACTTTGGGAGGCTGAGGCAGGTGGATCATGAGGTCAGGAGATTGAGACCAACCTAGCGAACACTGTGAAACCCCGTCTCTACCAAAAATACCAAAATATTAGCTGGGCGCGGTGGCCGGCGCCTGTAGGCCCGGCTACTTGGGAGGCTGAGGCAGGAGAATGGTGTGAACCTGGGAGGCAGAGCTTGCAGTGAGCCGAGACTGCGCCACTGCACTCCAGCCTGGGCAACAGAGCAAGACTCTGTCTCAAAAAAAAAAAAAAATATATATATACATATATATATACACATATATATACACATATATATATACACATATATATACACATATATATACACACATATATATACACATATATATACATATATACACACATATATATACATATATATACACATATATATACACACATATACACATATATATACATATATATACATATATATACATATATACACACATATATACACATATATATACACATATATACACATATATATACACATATATATACATATATACACATATATATACATATATATACACATATATACACATATACACATATATATACATATATATGTACATATATATGTACATATATATACACATATATGTACATATATGTACACATATATACATATATACATATATACATATATACATATATAATATATACACATATATACATATATATATATACAGAGAGAGAGAGAGAGATGGTGAATTGCATAAGTAAATTTTCTGATAATGGATAATTATTTCACTAGAGATAAACTCTGCCTGTTTATGTTCTAAATGTTAGAATTATTTATGTTTATAAAGACATTGATGGATCCATTTGATATTAGCAGCACTCAATATTTTAAGATTTTTTATAGTTATTTTAATTAAATCATATACAGTTTTCTTTAACTTTGAGTTATTTTTCAATGTTATTAAATATGTGATAGGATTATGAATTATGTGTGGTTGTTTTTCTGATTTTACTCTTGTCTGGAAAGTAGTAAAAAAATTAATATACCTCTTAAAAGTTTGATAAAGATCACTCATTAGATTTGGAATTTGGGCCTTTTAGGGAAGGAAGATGAAAATATTTGAGTAACAATTTAACTTATTCAATAGTTGTTAGTGCATTCAGATTTTCTATTTATTTTTAGGTAAATTTTATTTAAATATGTATTTCATGTGTGTTGTCTGATTTGTTCACCTAAAGTTGACCATTGCCTTTTCTTAGGAATTATACATCTTGATCGGATGAAGAAAATGTGACAAATGTGTGTGTGTGTGTATATATATATATATACACACACATATTTTATATATATATATATAATATATACGCATACATACTACACAGCCATAAAAAATAAAATTATGTCTTTTGTACCAACATGGATGGAGTTGGAGACTGTTATCCTAAGTGAAATAACTCAGAAACAGAAAATCAAGTACTCCATATTCTCACTTAGTAGTGTGAGCTAAACAATGGATACACATGGACAAACAGAGAGAAATAATGGACACTGGGGACTCCAAAAGTGGAGATGGGGAGGGGGGTGAAGGCTGAAAAATTACCTGTTGGGTATAGCGTTCACTGTTTGGGTCACAGGTACACTAGAAGCCTGAACCTCACCATTATACCATATATCCATGTAACAGACAATAGACATGTACCCCCTGAATCTATAAAACTAATAAATAAATTTAAGAAAGAAATTACACATCTCTATCCTATGTCCTCCTTTTCTCCTTAATATTGATTATTTGAACCATCTTTTCTTGTTCTTAATAAGTTTTGTTAAGAGGTTTCTTTGTTTACCAGTCTTTTCTAAGAAACTTATTTTATCATTTTTCTTAGTTCTTCATTTTATCTTATACTTTATTAATGTTTCTTACATCTTGAATATTTATTTAAATATTTCCTTGGATTGAATCCATGTTATTACAATTTTATTCTATTATTTTAATTAACTACTAATGTATTTTTAATAATTGTATTTAACACTACAGTTTGTGCAATAAATACCATTTAGCATATACCACCCATATTAGTATATGGGACTTTCATTATTGTCTAGTTTTAGGTATTTTGTGATATCTATTTTGATTTCTTCTTTAGAGTAATTCAAAAATAATATCGTTTCCAAACAAATATATTTCCCCTAATTTCTAATTTAATTGTTTCTTGAAAGAAAATGTGGAATGTATAACATTGAATTTTTTTGAAAAATGTTAAAAATTGTAATAACCTAGTACTGACTTTTTAAAAATCTATATTTTGTACACTTAAGAAGAGTATTTCAGTATTTCACTGCACTTTCCAATTAATTTTCTTGTAAACCTAAAACTACTCTAAAATAATCTGTTTATTAAAAAGTAATACATTTTAAATGTGCATGTATATAAAATCATTCTTATTTTAAATTTTCAAATATCTATACTCTTTTTGTTGTACTATTACATTTTTTAGTTACTGATAAAAGTACAATAGAGTGCACTACTATGTAGAGTAGTGTTTGTCATGTTTGCTTTGTAATTATGACAGCTTTTGCTCAATATGTTTTTAGATTCTATTGTTAGTAGTATAAATGTTTACAATTATTTATCTCTGTTTGTAGTTTGTTCCTTCTACTATTTTGCTTGTCTTTATGTCTTGTAAACCGTACTTTATTTTTGCTGAAATTAATATTGCTTCATCAATTGTTATATGTTTAATAACATCTTGTCTACATTTTCTAATCAATAATTTTGCAACTTGTTTTTAAAATATGTCTGTTGAAGGTGGCATATTGCTGAATTCAAAATAACATATAAACAACTTGTTAGTCTGTATCTTAATAAAGTATTTTGTTTATTATGTTTCTACTACATTTGTAGTTATCTCTAACATGTTAAGTTTTTGCTTTTTAAAAAGATTTCTCAAGATAGAAATTAAATATCATAAAATTCACCCATTTTAAGTACATGATTCATTAATTTTCAGTAAATATACAGAGTTTTTTAACCATCACCACAATCTACTTTTAGAATATATCTATGTCCCCAGAGAGATCCCTCATGTCCATTTGCATCAATTCCTGTTCTGGTCTCCAGCCCCAGGCTACTCCAATCTATTTTATCTCTCTGTAGATTTGCCCTTTCTGAACATTTCACATAAATGGAATCATACAGTATTTGATGGCTTACATATGGCTTGTTTCACTTAGCATGTTTTTGAGGTATATCCTTGTAGCATGTATCAGGAGTTTGTTCCTTTTCAGTGTTGAGCAATATTTCATTGTAAAAATGTAATACATTTTGTTATCTATTTACAAGTTGATGGACATCTGAATTGTTTCTACTTCTTGTCAATTAGTAACAACATCACACGCCTCATTTGTGTGGACATATGTTTTTATTTCTCTTATTTCTTCTAGGGAGATTCCTAGAAGTGTAATTGTGGACTTGTGTGGTAAATTTTGTTTAACATTGGAGAAACTTTCATAATAGTTTTCAAAGTGGTTGCACCAATATTTCACTTGCATGAACAACGTAGGAGGGTTTGTTTTGCTCTACAATCCTTGTCAACATTTGTTATTGTCTGGTATTTTGATTAAAGGCACTTGAGTGGGTATAAAGTGGTAAATCTGTCCTGTGATTTTAATTTGCATTTTCCACATTACTAATATATATGTTTTCTATGTTTCATAACAAATCACCACTAATTTAGCTGCGTAAAACAGCACACATTTATTTATTATCTCACAGTTTTTGTGGGTCAGAAGTCAGGTCATAGCTTATTTGGGTCCTCTGTTTAGAGTTCCATAGGGCTATCATTGAGCTGTTGACCAGAAAGCATTTTTCCCCAGATTTGACTGGAGAAAAATGTGCTCTTAAGCTCACTCAGGTCTTTGCAGAATTCATGTTCTTGTGATTATAGGATTCATATGTTTCCACGCAAGGATAGATGCAGGAACCAATGAGTCAGGTCTAGTTAGAATCTTATATAACATAAGCATAGGAGTAACAGCTCATCATCCTTGCCATATTGCTTAGAAGCAAATCACAGGTCCCACTTATCCTCCAGGGAAGGGCATTACACAAAGTGTGAACACCAGGAGGTGGGGAGTTTGTCCACCACAACTAATGATGTCAGTATCTTTTCATGTGATTTTTGGTCATTCGTGTATCTTCTTAGGTAAAATAATAACTAAAATCTTTCCTTTTAAAAATTGAGTTATCTTATTATCAGTTTCAAAGTTTCTTTTTATATTGTTGTTACAGGTCCTTTATCAGATAAAATTTACAAATATTTTCTCCCAGTCTGTAGTTTGTCTTTTCCTATTATTTATGATGTTTGTTGAGGCGCAGAAGGTTTTAATTTTGATAAAGCCCAATTATCAACACTCACTTTTTCTTCACAATTTTTTTCATCCTTTCCTGACATCTATTGGATTCTTTGGATTCTATTTAGTACCATTTCCTTTCCTACAATTGGGAGATAATAGCTTGATTTTCTCTTCTTACATTTTTAACATGTTTGACTATATATTTTTCAACAACATTTTACATATTTTCAGTATATCTTTCCTTTCCATAATAAAGAAAATACTTTAGTGCATTTTAATTACCAATTGAACTCCTCATTTCTACTTTATTGTCTAAAATTTTAGCTCTTCCTATTAAAAACTAAATTTATTTATTTACTGTTAGTCACTAGTGTGTTCTACATCTTTTATATTGGTACCATTTTTTGTAGTATTGAATCATCATCAGTTTGATATGTCTAAAAATGTGTTTATTTTATCCATCCTATTAAACAGTGATTAAGCTGTGTATCATGTTTTAGTTAACATTTATTTTTCCTCAGGATATTGAAAATATTATTCAATCTTCTTCATTTTTATTGCTGATGAGACATCTACTATTCGTCTCATTATCATTTCTTTTTAGATAATGTTTTTTTCCTTTCTAGTAACTACTAATCTTTTGTCTTATGTATATACTTGATTTTACTTCATAGTGATCAGATGTGGAATTATTTATTATATATTCCACCTTGTGAATTTTAAATTATATTTCTATTTGGAGTTTAAAAAAATTTAGCCATTACTGTTCAGGATATTTTTGTTTTTCTGCAAATCTCTTTTTTCTTTCCTTAGGGGGTACTGGTTAGATGCATTTGGGAGCTACCTTCCCAACTTCTTCATGAACTTTCTAAAAAATATTTTCTATTATCATTTTTGTGTAATATTCTAGTTGAATATTATATTTAAATTTACTAAACCCTCTCTTTTTCTGTTTAGGTTCTAATTTATGACATTATTGATTTTTAAAAATTGTTATGGCTTCATTTCATATATATATTTAGATTTGATACACAGCTCCATTTTTACATAAACTTTTAATTCACAGTCATTTAAGATTGGTCTATCATTTATACTTCAAAGTAAATTGATTTTCTACTTTTTCCCTTGGCATTAATTTTACTCATCTATTTTGACTTGTTATTACAAAACTTTTTTTTATTTTTTTTGAGACGGAGTCTCCCTCTGTTACCAGGCTGGAGTGCAATGGCCCAAAAACTCTCGGCTCACTGCAATCTCTGCCTCCGGGGTTCAAGCAATTCTCCTGCCTCAGCTGCCCGAGTAGCTGGGACTACAGGCACGCACCACCACGCCCAGCTAATTTTTGTATTTTTAGTAGAGACGGGGTTTCAACGTGTTGGCTGGGATCGTCTCAATCTCTTGACTTCGTGATCTGCCCGCCTCGGCCTCCCAAAGTGCTTGAATTACAGGCGTGAGCCACTGCACCGGGCCTTTTACAAAACTTGTGTGAGAGGAATTTCGTTCCGCTCTCTCTATGTAGAGGTTTGGTCTCCAAGTTGCTTTATAAAACCTAGTTTCCAAATGTGAAAGCTCATTGATTCTAGACAGTTCTTCCTTTCTGGCGTAATTTTATAAATGTCTTCGTTTAATGCCGTAACTTTTTGTTTAAGCACTGCTTTCGGTGCATCCCACCAATTTTGATAATGTATGTTATTACCTCCACTCAATTTAAATTGTAATTTTCTTTTGAATTCTTTTACTTATGGGTTATTTATAGGTGTGCTATTTAATTTTTAAATATATTAAGATTTTCCAGGTATTTTTCTATTATTGGCTTTTAGTTTAATTATGTTTTTGTCAGAGAACATACTCTATATGGTTTAAATTCTTTGAAAATTTTTGAAACACTCATAGAATTGACATTATAAAAATGACATTCTATAAATGTCGACGAGGTCAAACTGGTTTTTAGGTCTTCCATACCCTTATAGATTTTTTTCTCTACTTGTTCTACCCATAACTGAGAGGAGTGTTGATATCTCCCTTTGTCATTGTGAATTCGTTTACTCTTCCTTTCATTTCTATTAATTTTTCTTCATGCATTTTGAAGCTCTTTGGTTCTGTACATTCACATTTTGAATTTTTAAGGCAATTTGTAATTTTAAAACAATTCCTTACTTTTATGTGAATTTTTCATTGTTCCTTGTACTTTTTCTTGTTTTGAAGACTACTTGATACTAAGACAGTGAATTCACCTTCCTTTTAATTAATGTTTGCTTAGAGTATTTTTTTCATCATTTTACTTTTAACTAATCAAAGTTGCTCTATTTAAAGAGGCTTCTTTCACACAGCATATCACTTTTTAAAAAAATTTCTATGGACAATCTCCTGTCTTTTAAATGGTATGTTTAGATTAATAATGTTTAATGTTATATTAATATGTTCAGATTAAATCTTACCATCTTGTTAGTTATCTCTATGTTCTGTCCCTTCTTTTTTTTCTCTTTTTCTGCTGAAATTTTGATTAATTAAATATTTATTTATCATTCTATTCTCCATTATTGGTTTCATATTTACACCTCTTTTTAAAAAAAAACTAATAATGATTCCACCAGGGTATATAACATTCATATCTAATTGTTATCTGTCTTCAATTAAGGAACAATAAAAACCTTATGATGTATTTCCAAGTTCTTCCTGCCATTTTGTCTTCCCTTATTACCTACATTTTACTTTTGGTACAGATCCAACTATATTGAAATTATTTTGCTTTATTTAAATAAAACTGAGAAATCTATTTTACATGTGCCCTCATTTTTACAGTTTTTGGGGATCTTCTTTTTTAAGATATAGTTTTTGTGTAATATTCTTTCTACCTATAGAATTTCCTTTATCTTATCTTGTAATTTGAGTCTCCTGATAATCAATTTTCACCACTTTGTCTAAAACTGCCTTTATTTAACTTCCATTTCTAAATGATATTTTTCTTGCATGTAGGACTCTGGTATGGCAGGATTTTTTCCTTCTTTAAAACTTTTAAATATGTCAGTCTACTGCCTTCTGACTTACCTTTGTAAGTTTCTGATATAATTATTATTATTGTTCCTTTGTATCTAATGTGTCTCTTTTATTTGGATGGCATCAAGATTTTCTTTTTATCTGTGGTTTTTAACAGTTTGCATATGATA
Organism: Homo sapiens; assembly: GCF_000001405.40. Classification (NCBI taxonomy): domain Eukaryota; kingdom Metazoa; phylum Chordata; class Mammalia; order Primates; family Hominidae; genus Homo; species Homo sapiens. The sequence goes on along the minus strand of NC_000009.12, from coordinate 103,844,982 downwards.
TGCTCTATGTATATTTTTTAGGGGGAGTACTTTTTCCTACTTGGTGTTTCTCTGAGCTTATTGAATCTGTGATTTCAATTTCTTTTATACATAACTTCAAATATTTCTTTTTCCTTACTTTCTCCTCAGATTGCAAGTAAGTGTGTGTTAAACCATTTGATACTGTTTCATAGCTCTTGGATTCTCTGTTCTGTTTTTGTTTTTTCTTAAATTATTTTGTTTTCTTTTTGCTTCAGTTTTGATTATTTCTATCACCCTCTCTCTGTATTCACTGATTTTTTTTTCATTAGGTTGTGTCAAGTCTACTGAAGAGCCTGTCACAGGCATCTAAAAAATCTCTATTAGTAAAATTTTGTTTCTGGGGTATCAACCATCTCTTTCTTATGGGTTTCCTATCTCTGATAAAACTCCCTGTATGTTTACATATGGCATTCACCCTTTTCACACAAATTTTTACCATATTAACTCCAGATAATTTGAATGTCCTCTCTGATAGTTCCTGTAACAGGTCATTTTTTTTTTAGTCTGGTTCTATTGTTCTATTGACTGTTTTATCCTTTGACAGTGAGCTATTTTTCTTCTTCTTCTCATAATTTTTTTTTTTTTTTTTTTTTTTTTTGAGATGGAGTTTCGCTCTTGTTGCCCAGGCTGGAGTGCAATGGTACAATCTCAGCTCACTGCAACCTCCGCCTCCCAGGTTCAAGTGATTTTCCTGCCTTGGCCTCCCGAGTAGCTGGGATTACAGGCATGCGCCACCACGCCTGGCTAATTTTGCATTTTTAGTAGAGACAGGGTTTCTCCATGTTGGTCAGGTTGGTCTTGAACTCCCGACCTCAGGTGATGCGCCTGCCTCGGCCTCCCAAAGTGCTGGGATTACAGGCATGAGCCACCGTGCCCAGCATTTTTCTCATAATTTTTATTGAATGCTTGTCATTGAGTATGGAACAGTAGATATTGACATACACGGTATTTATGCCTGAAAATAAGCATGCCTGTTATTTTGGTAGGTCTTTTGTGTGTGGAGTGAGTAGTCAATCTAGTCAGGACTTGAGCTGGGTTTATTGTTGTTTGTTGTTACTATGGACCTTCAGTATAGCATCAGCTTCAATTCCTTGTTACATTGTGCTTAGGTGAAGGTTAGGATCCTAGAGGGATGGGAGGGTTCTCAATGTCCCTAACATTTTATGTTTAGATTTGATCTTTAGCAATTTGATAAATATTTTAGCTGAAATCTTATCTGCTTGTCTGCCACTTGTAACCTCATCCTTGTGGTTTTCTGCAGAGAAGTTAGTGCTTCTTGTCTCTTTGGAGTGACCTGTCTTTTCCCAGATTTCAGGACACTTGGTTGTTTTGAGACCTCAGCTATCTGATGAGTTCAAAAATAATTATAATTTTGTAGATTATCTGGCTTTTTCTTATTATTATGATGGAAGCAACACCATTTTTAGCTTTCTATATCATAGGTGGAATTGGAATTACTGTATTTAGTGATTTCTGGGTTTTGACATTGTCTCCTGAGGCAACTAAACAAAAACCAGAATTTGTATTATAGGCTCAGTTCAAGATGCAGTGGGCTGAATTCAGCCAAGTCAGCTTGGCTCAGGTACAGAGATAAGGTCATCTCTACTTCTTCCCTGTTTTCTATAAGCTTACATGGGTGAATTTTACCTCTTCTCTCAGCTAATTTTAATGAGATTGGTTGTATTTTCCCATTAGACATGGGGTATTTCCCATGTTTATCATTGTGTAGGGCTACAGTTTCTGACTGCTTTTGCCTCATTTTGAACAAGGAGACCGGCAAGTCTTTGGTCTCATCAGTGGTTTGATTCTGTTCCACATCTGTATAAAACAGCTGGTAAAACAGCACCTCTGAAGAAAGGCAATGTTCTAAATAGAGAAAATAATCTTGAATTTGAAAGACCTGGTTTCAAGTTCTGTATCCACCAGTTGTGAGATTTAGAAATACCTTCCTCATAATAATTTGAAATAATGGATGTGTGTTTTAGTTGGCTGCATTTGGATCAGTCTTTAAAGTTAAGCATGATGCATTTGACATATAATGTTATATAGTATCAGTGAAGTAAGACTACTTTAAAGATGAACTAGATGCAATTAATTAAGTACTATTTCAAAATAATATATCCATTTACAAAACCCTTTCATCTGCCCTCATTTTAGGGTCTCACAGTCTTGGAAAATTGTTTGAATTAATATCTCTATTTTTAAAGATGAGGCTATGGAGACAGAATGATTAAGTGACACCTTCTAAGAGACAGACCTGGGACACAAAAGTGAGTATTTTTGATTCCACCTCCATGTACTCCTTCTGTTATGCAATGATATCTTCTTAAAAATTACTATATACTTTTGGACATAATGTAACTTCAATATGATGGCTCCATGGAAGGTCAGATAACCTCTTCAATTACTACAAAATAAATTAGAGCTTTCTGCCATAAGTGCGAGAAAGATTTTCTACCCTGAATGCTTAGTTTTAAAACCTGCTGAATTGACGGAGAAATGATGGAAGTAGCCAATATGAAGGCTATTTAAAAATCTATGGGGAGAAAAGGAAACTGGAATGTGGGCTGTCTATAACAGCATAACAGAACCCTGGGTGTTGGTGAGAAAATCGATTATCCCAGCTGGGTTATTAAAGCTGAGCACACAAAGTGCAAGTAGTAATAAAATCTGCTGCTTTGGTGCCTTAGTGTTTTCTGGGTAAACATAGACATCTGAGGGTTTACAGTTATCCATATACAATACCTAATCCTATATTCTGTCACAGGAAATATGCCTGGCACATCTCATTGCCACATCTTTAGGCAGAAGGACTCAAGGGGCATTGGCAAATGAATTTGTTTTTAACAGATTTAATTTTACTTCTCAGTGTCTCAGAAAGTGTAAATCTCTGCAGAGGGCCACAGCCTTTAACCTTGCTCTCTGTTAATGCTTTCTCATTGGATTTTTTTCTTTTCCTGTCCCTTCTCACATTTATTCAGAAGGCCCAGAGAACTTACAAGGCAATGAATGGGTCAAGCCTGGATGAGGCACAGGAGATTCATTTTCTTCAAAAATTTGAGTTATGCATTATGTTGTAGTTGTCAGAAATATGTTTTAATTGTACCTTTTGGTTTGGTAGTCTTCTTTCTAAATAATGCATTACATATTATAAAATGTTTTCGACGTATATTTACCTGTGGGCTATAGGAAAAAAATAAGAGAAAAGCTTATTGGTATTAAAATGCTAACAGTTCGAGGAATTTTAAAAAATTCTTGTATGTGGAGTTTCAAAGTATTTTTACACTTTATATTATTTTACTATATGTGGTTATTGGTGAAGCTTATTTCAGTAAATGTTTTCCAAACAACTAATAATTATAGGAATGAGATTTCAATCCAATTCTCTAGACTTTTAACCTACATTATATTTTTGCCTACAGACTTATTTCTAATTCTTTGACATAATTTTACTCTTTGTCAACAGAGAAACCTGTTTCTTCTCTTTAAATTTAAGGCCACAGCTATATGGGAAAATGATTCAGTTAGGGGACCCAAAAGATGCATATATCTGGGATATTTGAGTTTAAATAAAACCCTGCCCCAGTCACAAATAATCACTATGATTTCTTCCTAGGTGTTTAAAGCTATACATTCCATAAAGGCAACTGCATGTTTCGAGTTTGTCCTGTTCAAGTGCAGAATATTATTTACAATTTTTAATGGACATGTTTCAGACATCAGGATCAGCAATCTAGGTTTCAATTTATCTGAAAGGCAACAAAAGGGAATAAAATTGTTTTTTCACTATGTGTGTATTACCTCCTACCCCTCTGCTCAGCTTAGAAATAATGGCCTATATAGCTCTCAGAACTCAGGTCAGAATCTTTTGACCTTTTGTATATAGATGTGTTCAGAGGCAAGTAATCCCATATGCAAAACCGTCTATAACACATTATGATAATAGGAAAAGTTGTATCCACAACTTCACTTTACTAGCAGGAAGCATTTATATTTGTGCATAGTATTTCTCATGAGGTTTGATAACATGATGAGAATAACTTTCTATATTTTTGTTAATGATTTCACACTTAGAATATCTGAAATCAGGAAGTTCAAACTTCTGACCTAAAGCAATGGCACAGCACAGCACAGCAGTTAAGCTTATTGCTTTCAGTAAGGGATCAAAACCTTAGAAACATCTTTGATGTCAGCTTATTCACTGAGGTACAGATAATATTGCTCATAGCACTTTTTATATCTCAGGTTGTTACTAAGGTCCACAGTTGATACTGCAAAAATAATTTGCTAAATACCTTTGATTATTTTCATGTATTTCCAGTTTGGGAGAACTACTGTGCTTCCATCATTTCTCCCGGTTTATATAGAGATCTTGCCACCCAACTTCATAACTTACCATTCAATTTCATAATGGATTTTTTTTAAATTTCTCAAGTTACCTTTTAACTATTTGGAAAACTTTTAATGTCCTGACTTTAGAAGGCCTTGAGGATTTCAGTTTTCTAAAGAAGAACAAAATGATCTCCTTAGTCACTGCAGGTTTGTATTATTTTAAACCCACTATCCATAAAAAGTTGATGCATAATATTACACATGAAATTGCAGTTGTTGTAGCACCCCATGATTCACCCTATTAAATTTATATTCTGTCATTTATATATTTGAATTATAAGTCATCTTATAGATTATTTAAGAGCTGATGCTAGAATAAACAAAATGGGAAGCAATAAATAGTGTGAAAAAATATTAAAATACAGGGAGATTTATTTATCTAATTTTAAGTAACTAGGATTAAAAATAATTTGGACAGCTCTTGGGTTATACAAAGTGAAAGTTTAAGAGCTATTACTGCTAATTAATCTGCTCAGAAAAATATTAGGTCAATATCAGATACAGATTATATTAAGGTAAAATCTTGTTTGATACATATTATTTCTTATCTTTTAAATTTAATGATTTGCTCCAAGTGATGAACATTATAATTTAATTTTCCTTAATGCAGATATTCAAATAGATAGCATGGAATTTGGAATAACCGAATGAATCAAGACTTCATAAAACATTTGCCAACTTATATGGTGGACATAAAATCATAAAATTCTTCTCATAGAAGTCGAATGTGGTATCATTCAAAAAGCAAAATGCCTTGTTATTTTTCAATGGTAATTTGTTTATCGTGCTTATTTACACTTAGGTGATCTGACCTTCAAATGAGGACTTTCATATAGGTAAATGTTATCAAAATACAAATGCAATGACACGATGTCTTTTCCAAATGAAGGCTAAGATTACCCTCTAAAAATAAAATTGGGGATAATGCAAATGCAATGGATGAGATCATCTTGCTGCAGAAATGACATAAAGCTGCCTGTTATCAAAGACTAGAAAATGCTAAAAATTTAATCAAGGGTGTACTGTCTGCACACCCTAGAATGCATGAGCGCAATGTCATCTTTACAAAGCCAGGCTTTGTGATAACACAGTGAGGATGTGCAAGAACTTTGTTAAGCAGGGTGCAGACAACAGAAAAACCACAGTATATTTGCATTATTCTGCCCATAAGAGGTTTCCCTGATTAACCACCACAAATGTTTACTCATATCTCTCCTTTTAAGGAAGGACAGATATATCAGGCTAACAGTATTTGGTGCTATAGGCAATTAAAATCATCCAACTAACATCATTCTGTTGCCAGGCTAACAAGATGATCTCCCATTCTAATAATTAATTTGCTTTACTTGTATGGTGACAATGAAAAAAGAAGACACTTAACAGGCATGTGGATTATTTAAGTCTATATAGGAATAATAAAATTCTGTGGTATTTTGGTAAGATGGCAATGCAAATTCATTTTGGTAAAATGATAATGAAAAATCTTCCATTAAGAGTATCTAATTTTCCTACTCCAGAGTTCTACTAAAATGAATATTCACTATAAAATATTAAAAAGAAAAAAAGCACCAGGAGAAGTTGGGAAAAGTGCCATGAACATGTTATAAACTTCACATATTTACTCCATTCCAATTTATTAGATTACTATTAGAGGCCTGGCATATTTCTAAGTGCTTGGGATATATCCGGAATTAAAAGATGAAAATCTCCACCCCCCTGGACTTTATATTTTAGTTGAAGGAGTCAAAAAAAAAAAAACAGTAAACATAAAAATAAGTAGCCAGGCATGGTGGCTTATACCTATAATCCCAGCACTCTGGAAGACTGAGGTGGAGTAGTGCTTGAGGCCAGAAGTTCAAGACCAGCCTGGGCAACATAGTGGGATGTTGTCTTTGAAAAAAAATGAAAAAAAAAAAGTGGTCAAGCATGGTGATGCATGCCTGTGGTCCCTTGGTATTCTGGAGGCTGTGGCGGTAGGTTTGCTTGAGCTGCAGTGAGCTATAATGCTAGCTTGGGCAACAGACCAAGACCCTGTCTCTTTAAAAAAAAAAAAGTAAATAATGTAACAGAAAGTTATTAGGTCCTATGGCAAAAAAAAAACAAACAAACAAACAAAAAAAAAAACAAAAAAACAAACCTGAAATAAAACAAAATAAAAAACCACCAAAACTCAGGGATGTTGTGGTCTTGGGTGAGGCAATTTATGGTATCAAACAGGTAAATCAGGGTAAGTTTCATTGAAAACGTAAAAATGGAGCAATGATTGAAAGGAGGAGAGGGAGTTAGGGAAACAAATAACTGGGAGTACATCCCAGCCAGAGGGAACAACTAGATTGAAGGCCCTAGGTGAGTGGCATTTGAAATCTTTTTCATGGATAAGTACCCTGGCTCAAACTGAATGCAAAAAAGGAACAGACTAATCACACTGCTTCCCTTGCCCACTCCAAAGCAATACAAGTGACTGGAGAAAAACCCCAGGGAGCCTGCTAACCCTCCTTAACTTACAGGCCAGCAACAGTAACATCAAAGGAGTATTTTGTATCTTTAGTTTAGAAAGCTTTTTAGAGTAGATTTACTCAAAGAAACAAGAGAATAGAATATTTTTTACTTTTATCTAATAAGAATTCAATAACAATTGCTTCTTGAATTTATTAAATTAATCCTTTATGAAAAAAGAAAAGGTTAAAATTAATAAAATCGAATTGGGATGACTTCTGCTAGAAATATGGCAATTTTAGCCTGTGGCTTCAACTTGCTCCACCTTCCAGAATGTGAATAGCTGATCAAAGAAATAGGAAGACATCTGTGTCAGTCTGGAACCCAGTGAAGAGGTTTTAAGGACTTTCTGGAAGGCTTAAAGGAGGCAGGATTGGCTTGAAGGAAGAGTGATTTAACGCATTTCATTCATCAAATAGAAAATTAATATAAGGCAAGTAACTGAGGGCACATTCTATCTACCACCCTATTTGGAGCAGCAAGAGCTGAGGGCAAGGGCAGACTGATGGGAAGCTGGAGGGCAGTGCACCCAGCCTGAACCTCTTAATGTACAGTTCCGACCTACATCTGGCATGGATACATAAGAGTTTACTGACACTACTATAACACATAATGAAAGGCATTGGCAACTGTTAATAATTTTTTTAAAATACTGCAATGGAGGACACAGATATTACAGTGAGACTCTTTTAAAAATATGGATCTCTGGTGAAGAGAAATAGATTAATCATAATCCTTTTTTATGATATTTTGACATAATTGGCCTGAGCAAAGTTCTTTTTATTTATTTGATCATTTCCTTATTTTTAGTACTATAATAAATATTGTTAAACTCATTACTCAATCCAAAATCTTAAACAATACTATTAATTTACTTCTCCCTAAAGTGACCCTTCCTCTATTTTGCCTCCTTGTTTCTCTTTTAGAGATTATAGCTTTGTGAAATTTTATGCTTGCCATTATTTTGCATTTTTAAAAAGAATTATCAGACATGTGTATGGCTGATCAATATATTGTATAGTTTTGCCTAATTTTGAGCCTTATAAAAGGAACTCATGTGAATATAGTCTTTGAAATCTTGCTTTTTTGACTCACATTGTGTTACTGAGATTCGACTACAGTTTTGCATTGATCACAGCTGTGTATGTTCTTCGAAAGTTCTACAGCTGCCTCAGCACAGCACAGTTCTCTGACACAGGTGAAGCAATCGCTGGGTGTTCTTTTGTGACCTCCCTTCAAACCTTGTACCAGCTTCTGCTCTTGATGGCAAATCTACATCTTCTTACCTCTGGTGCTCCCATGTCAGTAAGAATCCCTCCTGGATGGATGCTATAAAGACAGCTGAAATTAGTCTCCCTTTCTCAGAGGCCACTGGGTCCATGTAAATTCCCAAGGATTGGAAGACTGGTTACTTTCACTATGGTCCTCTTTCCTCATCCTGCCATGTTGTAGCTGCCTCAGCCAGGCTTTGCCAGAAGAATTCCCAGGAGGGACAGAGGCAACTTCTTGATGTTCAGGAGCTGAAGGTCTTCGAATTCCAGAGGTTGCATGCCTTGCTCATCCAAGGGCTTTGACTGAGCTTTCTCTGTAATGAGGGAGGGGGCCTAAGTGTTTCTGTGGCCTGTGGGGACATTAAGCCAAGCTCCCCTGCTTGCAGGAACTCTTAGTCTTTCTTGGAGCCCCTCCCACCCCACTTGGCCTTTTGGGATAGGGAAGAAGCAGCTCTTCACCCTCTTATAAGGGGAGGAGGGGAGAGAAATGATAATATATTCCCTAATAAAGGTAATTTATTGCTCAGAACACACTTTTAAAACTTCTGCTATTTATATAAGATGAAAGATCAGGTGAGCAAGCTCAGATCCACTTTTCAGCTTTTCTTTCTTCTCCCTTTTTTTTTGTAAGTAGGTAGTTTTTATCTATTGTTTTCAACACTTCAATATTTTCAGTTTCAAGACTTTAATATTTCTGAAACAATTGAAAAATTATTAAACACTGAGTAGATGTCAACTGTGGATATTGATTATCACAGAAGGTAGAATTAAAAGCAGGTAGATGGGAGCATTGTCTTGCTTAGTGTAACTTTTTGCATTGTTATAATAATTATGTCTTAATTAATTCTTGTAATTTGAAAAACTATTTGCGGAAAAAATAAAAATCAAATTTACTTAGTGTAAAATTATTTATAAAGATGAGTAGCAAACCTGAAAACACACTATTTCTAAGGGGCTTGTCTTCAGGGAGTCCATCTGATGAGATTATCTATGAGACTATTGGTATGGCTTTCAAATTTTGACTAATCAATCCAAAAGAATAAAACTCTCTGTGTTTTGATTTCAGAAGACAAATGAATCTCTCCTGTACCCACCCCCAACTATACTTAACAAAAACACTTAATCATAAATGGAGACTCTGAAATACTCTACTACAAATAGGAATCAACAAGCAGTAACATCAAATTAAAATGGTGAAACCTTTTAAAATATCAATGACATGTACGTTTCAGATTTGTCTCTGTGTATAGTTTAATTAACCAGTTTTGAAAATTCTTTAATTAAATATGAAGAAGGAATGTGATTTTTTTGAAAGTGGAAAACAAAAATATTTTAATAAATACAACTTTACTGATAAAATGTTTTAGTATGTGCTTACAGATTGAAATTAGATAAATTTCATTTCTAAAGTTAATCTCACCTTTTCCTATTCTTCTTCACATTACTATCAAATGAAAATCTGCTCATGCCAGTACTTGGCTTAAAAATATTCAATTTTTTACAAAAAATTAGCTGGGCGTGGTGGCGGGCGCCTGTAGTCCCAGCTACTCGGGAGGCTGAGGCAGGAGAATGGCGTGAACCTGGGAGGCGGAGCTTGCAGTGAGCCGAGATCGCGCCACTGCACTCCAGCCTGGGCGACAGAGCGAGACTCCGTCTCAAAAAAAAAAAAAAAAAAAAAAAAAAAAAATTCAATTTTTGTCGTTTGCCAGCCAGAAAAAAATTGGCATTCCTTAGTATGATGGACAGAGACCTTCGTTACTAAGTGTGAGTTCTCTTTTCACTTTAATTTCATAGCACTTGTCCTCATGTACTCCACACTTTGGTATCATTGGAGGATTTACTGTTCACTGAGCTCAGCGTAATCTTTTATATATCTTTCCTTAGCTAATTTTATTCCTTCTGTCCACAATCCTGAAATACCCTTCTGCCCATGAACTACAAATTACCCTCCTATACCCAGCTGTTTTAATTTATTTAGGTTGGTACAAAAGTTATTAATTAAAAGGTTATTTTAATTGAAAATAATGGCAAAAACCGCGATTACTTTTGGACCAACCTAATAGGATCTTTAAGAGGGAAAACACTCCTTAAATTATTACAAGAGACACAAGATGAAAAGAAATATTTCATTACTTACAAACCCTGTGGGTACATGGCATGCCTGAAGGACACACAGAGGTTAGCCAGTACCAGGAGAGAAAGAATTTATAGGTTAATGCCTTTATTGGCATCTAGGACTTTATCCAAACAGGTTTCCTATGGGGAATTTTGATTGGTGGGTTTAATGCAAGCAGGCACGGGTTCCAGGAAGTCATGTTGTGACTGAGAGGAGGTCGCTGTGGCATATACGTACATTCCATGTGGTGTGTGGGGGTCAGCAGGACCAGTCAAGTAGGTTGTAGGAAGTTGTATATGGCAGATACCTGGACTGACCGCACTGAGGAACTGGGAGAAGGCGAAGAGCTAGAGACAGTCAAGGTGACTGAGCCCTGCTTCTGGTATGAAAAAGTTAAAGTTACATTTAAAATGGATGCCAAGGCAACATAAAATTGTAAGAATTTACTATACCAGCCCATATGTCATCTCTACAAGGCCTTCTGTAACAGCCTGACCCAGTTAGTTATTACTTCACTTGTAATTATTAGCTTATGACAGTTACCTACATATACTATAGCAATTTCTTATTCAACTCTATATCCCAAACTCCTAAAAGAGTTCTTAGAGTAAAGCAAATACTTAATAAGTATTTATCCATTTTTATGAGTAAATTAAGACAAGTTCCTTGCTAGGTTCAACTGAATAAACTAACAAGGTTCTATGATCATAATTTAATTTTATAGTTTACTTTATATAGGAAAACCAAGACCATTTTGTACTCTATTCCCCTATATGGTAAAGTCTATTGCAGTAGCTAATATCATGGCAAAAAGCGTTCAATAATGTATATATATACACTGGAATTATATTCAGAGCTGCATAAAATCTGATTTGCAGATAAAGCTAACATTTTAATGATTTCACTTTGGAGCTTTTTTGTCACTCTTTCCAGGGCTAAAGAGACACCATCTTCTCCAGAACGGTGAATCCAAAGATTGAATATGCTTTTCTCCCTTAAAAAAAAGTTTTTTTTTTTCTAGTAATGTCAACTAGTTGTTCTACACCAAGACTTGCATAGTTCTCTAATTTCTTGAATGTCCATTATTTTCCAGTGTGGAAGGATGTTTTCATTCTATGAATGGGTACAATTACTTGCAAAGCTCTGGTATTAATCTTGTCTTCCCCAGGAGTAGCTGCCTTAGCTAGCTTTCCTGATTTATCACCATAGATCACTGCAAAGGTGATTATAGCAAGATGGTAAATGATTAGGGAACTCAAGTTTATTGCTCCGGATTGCCCCTGCAGCTTTAAAATTACTTCACCCAGACACTTCTCAAAAGAAGACATTTATGCAGACAAAAGACACATGAAAAAATGCTCATCATCACTGGCCATCAGAGAAATGCAAATCAAAACTGCAGTGAGATACCATCTCACACCAGTTAGAATGGCAATCATTAACAAGTCAGGAAACAACAGGTGCTGGAGAGGATGTGGAGAAATAGGAACACTTTTACACTGTTGGTGGGACTGTAAACTAGTTCAACCACTGTGGAAGTCAGTGTGGCGATTCCTCAAGGATCTAGAACTAGAAATACCATTTGACTCAGCCATCCCATTACTGGGTATATACCCAAAGGATTATAAATCATGCTGCTATAAAGACACATGCACACGTATGTTTATTGCGGCACTATTCACAATAGCAAAGACTTGGAACCAACCCAAATGTCCATCAGTGAAAGACTGGATTAAGAAAATGTGGCACATATACACCATGGAATACCATGCAGCCATAAAAAAGGATGAGTTCATGTCCTTTGTAGGGACATGGATGAAGCTGGAAACCATCATTCTCAGCAAACTATCGCAAGGACAAAAAACCAAACGCCGCATGTTCTCACTCACAGGTGGGAATTGAACAATGAGAACACATGGACACCGGAAGGGGAACATCACACACCGGGACCTGCTGTGGTGTGGGGAGAGAGGGGAGGGATAGCATTAGGAGATATACCTAATGTCAAATGACGAGCTGATGGGTGCTGCACACCAACATGGCACATGTATACATATGTAACTAACCTGCACGAAGTGCACATGTACCCTAAAACTTAAAGTATAATAAAAAAAATAAATAAATAAAATTACTTTACCCAAGGTTTACTACATTTCTCCATGCTTGGATTTTTTTTTCCTTTATATATATAAATAATTATACTTTAAGTTCTAGGGTACATGTGCACAACGTGCAGGTTTGTTACATATGTATGCATGTGTCATGTTGGTGTGCTTGGCCTTTTTTCCTGAACACTAGTATGTCCCTTGCTCCTGCAGTCCATGTATGTGGTAATGTGTTAAATACAACTGTTTCAGGTCAAACAGCACCTTCTGCCTTATAGTCATCAGGACACTGCAGCAGCTTAGGGATTCGGCCATAGGTGCAGGCTGAGGAAGCCACTGTGCTCTCACTTTTGTGAAGTTTATATTGATATGTTCTCTACCAGAGCATTGTAAGCCCACCTGGCTGCTACTGCCAGATGCTATTGCTACGGCAGCTTGCCGGTCTCTTTCCTGTAGGCTTGTTTGTTTTCCCAGACCTGTCTTAGTAGGCTATATAAATATTTTAAAGATAAGAAAACATGCAGTAGAGAATTCTGAGAATTATCATGGTGTAATAGATGACATAGAAGAAATTGATCAAAACAACTAAAAAGAAATGAGAGCAGGAAAAATACAAACCTTTACCAAGGCTGACATTATGAAACAGTGCCAAGCATGTGCTCCAGACAATTCAGACTGAGCCAAATCAAAGATGGCACGGGAAGAAAATGCACAAATTCCCATCCTGAGGCAGCAGTGCAGTGCTGCAGGAAAGTACAAGAAGACTTTTCAGAAAACCCCTGAAATATACACTAATTTCAAGAAATGAGCGCTGTACTGTCATGGCTAGGAGACAAACTGTGTGGCTAATTCTTTCTTTGACTCTGTTTCTTAATAGTAATGTGAGATTATTCTAATAAGAGATAAACCCCTCTCTGGTGGTAGAAGGAATATAGAGGCAAGATTGGATCATGGAAAAGATGGTAAATACCCTATAAGAAGCCATTGCTCTAGTGAAGTTCAGCACCAGCAAAAGCAGTTAAAATATAAAAGGTGACAATATATGCAGACTGTACTTTTTCTACTCTGATTCCTCAGCAATGTTGTCATTTAATTCTAGTGCAAATGAGAAATTCAGAATCAGAAGAACCCTCATCTACTAAAGGACATTTACCAATCACTGCAACCCTTCCAAAATCAAAATAGTCACAATATACAACAAAACAAATATAACTAAAAAATACCTCCAATTTTTTTGACTGAAACTACCCAACTTATTTTAGACTACTGCATGCTTATACATGTAATATAGAACCTATGTCTTAAATAAATTATTTTACATAAAACACAGGAGGGGCTACAAGAATAATTCACTTACACTAATTTTGGGGAAAGAGAGAAACACTAGACTGCTTCTTTAGGTTTGGTCTCATTTAAACATGAATAACTATAAAACAAAATCACAAAGTTATACAAAATATCTGAATCAGAATACATGAAATAAACCTAGCTGTATAATATTTCATAATCAAATACTTGACGTGCAAAAATATTAACTTATCTAGAATTGACTATAACTTGAATCTGATTCCCCAATTAGTTCCATTTAGGTTTACTCCTTTTCATGACTTCTCTGTCCCTGGCAGCCAAAACTTTAAGGGGAGAACTAAAGCCTGCTTTCTCAAACCAGTCCGTGTTAGCCTACTTCCCCACCCCTGAAAATTTTAGTACTATTAACTCTCATTTCTTTTTCATACCCTACTCCCACCGTCTATTCCTATTTAACCACCTCTTCATCTTAATTTAAGCAGGAGGTGAAAATTAGTTCCTAAGTTATTTTATTTCTTCTTATTTTGGCTTCCTTTTGGTAAGTCTTCTCAACTTAGTAACTAAAAACTAGAGTCTTTTCAGCCTGGGCAACATAGTGAAACCCCATCTTTACTAAAAATACAAAAGTTAGCCGGGCATGGTGGCACATGCCTGTAGTCCCAGCTACTCATGAGGCTGAGGCATGAGAATTGCTTGAACCGAGGAGGAAGAGGCTGCAGTGAGCCGAGATTGCGCCACTGCACTCCAGCCTCGGTGGCATAGTGAGACCCTGTTTAAAACAAACAAACAAACAAACCAACCAACCAACAAAAAACACAAGTCTTTTTGTCTTCAATGATATGTTGAGCAGTGGTTGATGAAAGAATATAAAACAGTTCACTTGTTGGCTTAAGCTACTGATAGGCCATAAATTAATAAACAACATAGTATCTTCAAAAACAAGCAAAAGGTGGCTTTAAAAGCATATGTTGAATAATTGACTTCAGGAAATAGACTATCACCAAAAGATCTGAGGCAGTATCAACTTATATTCTTCAGGAAATTAAAACATAAATCTGTAAGAAATAGAAATATACTGATAATAAAATAGAGTGAGATGAAAAAGTTTCTAGCGTGGCTAAGGAATGAATTTAAGAGAACAGAGAATATAATTATAGAACCTAAAATGAATTGAGGAGCAGTATAATGCAAAATTGAAATTGCTGAAAATAAAACAAATTGATGTGAAACACAGTTAAAAATAAATATTTCAGAATACAGAGAAAAAGAGATAAAAGTTATATAAAATGTATTATTTATATACAACTCATGTTTACTAGTATAATTAAATGAATCAAACAAATATATCAGAGAAACTAAAATTTTAGGGACAAAACGATTATGAAGGAATATCAACATGTAAAATTATTTGTGACAGGTCCCCATAATGAAAAGCTATCAAGTGGGTATTTATTTTGAAAGAAGTATTGGATTTTAAAGACAATTATACAAGCCTCTGAGTAAGAGAAACATGTCAAATCTAATATAAAAATCAGGTAGGTTTGGGGTGTATCTTCATGATATTTTCAACAGAAGCCAGAATACAATGAAGTAATCTGTACCAAGTGTTGGGGAAAAAATTACAATATAAGAATTTCCAACCAGTCACATAGGCACACATGTGACGGTAACAGAAAAATATTCTCCTGTACACTAGGGAATAGTATATTGATATGTTATCCGATTGTCTTACCTACACTTAAAAAAAGGAAGAGAAACTTGACCGCAACAACCACATTATTGGGAATCACAAGACACTTAAGAATATATTCCACTGTATTTATTAGATACTGCTTTGTTTATAAACTTGTTTGAAGAGAAGAAAACCTAAAAAAATGACAGCTATAAGATCCAACATCTTATCAATGTAAAATAAATGAAGACACCTATTAAAAGAAGAAGACTCTCACATTTGGGTTTGAAAAATATCTTGATAATCTATGTCATTTATCAGAGATCCACCTATAACAAATGATGAAGAAATGATGAGTGCGGTAGACTAATGCCTCCCCTCTCCAATGATGTCCACACTCCAATTGCCAGAAACTGTGAGTATGTTACTTTACATGGCAAATTGAATTTTCTCGATATGGGTAAGGGCATGGACCTTGAGATTGGGAAATTATCCTGGTGGAACCAATATCAGTTCTTAAAAATGGAGAAGCAGCCAGGCACAATGGCTTAGCCTATAATCCCAGCACTTTGGGAGGACGAGGCAGGCAGATCACTTGAGCTCATGAGTTTGAGACAAGCCTGGGGAACATGGGGAAACACTGTCTCCACAAAAAATTCAAAAATTAGCCAGGCATGGTTGCATGCACCTGTAGTCCCAGCTACTCAGGAGGCTGAAGCAGGAGGATCACTTGAGCTTGGGAGGCAGAGGTTGTAGTTGTAGTGAGCCAAGATCGTGGCCACCACACTCCAGCCTTGGTGATAGAGCCAGAACTTGTCTTGAAAAAAAAAAAAAAAAAAGCAAAAGCAAAACCAAAACCAAAGAAAAAAACCCAACAACAACAAAAACTTTCAGAGCTATTGTAGAGAGAAGAAGATAGATGTGACTTTGGAATAAGGATCAGAGAGATGCCATAGTGCTGGCTTTGAAAATAAAGGAATGAAGTCCAAGCTGAGGAATAGAGATGTCTTGTGAAAACTGGCAAAGGCAAGGATTCTCCCCTAAAGCCCATTTTTCTTCTTTGTACTTTTGCCCACTCTGCTGACCAAAATCTTGAAAACAAAATCTTTACACATTCAAGATTTCAATTATAGCTGGGCTCTGAGTAGAATACATAAATTCCTGTCTATGTATCTAATGTATTAGTCCATTCAGCCTACTACAACAAAAATCATAAACTAGTGATTTATAAACAAATTTATTCCTCATAGTTCTAGAGACTAGGAAGCTCAAGATCAAGGCACCAGCACATT
Organism: Homo sapiens; assembly: GCF_000001405.40. NCBI lineage: Eukaryota > Metazoa > Chordata > Mammalia > Primates > Hominidae > Homo > Homo sapiens. The sequence goes on along the minus strand of NC_000009.12, from coordinate 103,828,309 downwards.
CAGTGTCTGGTGATGACCCATTCCTCATAGGTGGCACCTTCTTGCTGTGTCTTCACACGGCGAGAGGGGGAGACAAGCTTTCTAGGGCCTCTTTTATAAGGGCACTAATCCCATTCATGAGGGCTCCACCCTCATAACCTAGTCACCTCCCAAAGGCCCTCTTTTAATTCCATCACAGTAGGAATTGAGTTTCAACCTATGAATTTTGAAGGAACACAAACATTCAGGCATAGAACTTGCTAAGTTTTTCCTCCTTTTCTCTACATTGACATGTCAAATCTTCTTGCTTTTGGTAGAAACTCTTGACTTTGCCTGCCTAGAATCCTTTCTCCCTTTTTCTCAGAGCATGATCTTGGTTTTCTAGTAGACATCTATTTTTCTTCCAAATTCTGTCTATGCTGTTGGTTTTAACCTAATCCTCCTTAGAGTTCTAGAGGTGGCCACATGACCCAGGATTGGCCAATCAGTGCATCCACAGCACTGGCAATGATAGCTTTGGAATGAAACTGTGACTCAAGCTGTTGGAATAAAAGTTGACCCCAACTTCAGTTGCTGAAACTATTGAAAAAGAAGTACTTTTTTGGTTCTTACAATTCATTTTTTCCTTGTATATTTGGTTATATTGTATTGATCAGAGCCCCCAAGTTTATAGAGCACAATTTGGAAAACAATAGTTGAGGGAATAATTTTAATTACAAAATTTCCTGGACTAAAAATTGAAAAGTAGTTGCATATTTGAGATAATATTGCTAATTTTTTTGTGAAATATATTTTATACTTCACTAACTTAAGTAAAATTTGGAACTAATAAGACTCATTCATGCAACTATCTTTGTTTTGTTTTTATTAAGCTGTTTTTAACTAAGTAAATTACTTAGAGATACCAAGAATTATTTACCTTTATCTGAAAATAAAAAGAAAAACAAATTAATATTTTTACTAAATAATTCTCATGCTTATTTCTCAAAAATGAATATTTATGTACATAATGTTAATAGTCTTTCTTAATATTGTCCATTGAAAATGATGCTACATAATACAGTGATTTTATATAGAAATATTTTCTAGGGTTTCCTAAATTACTTTTTATATGAAAAATACTATTTGAATGAGTACATTAATACATTTTATTGAATATTATACATTATTTATATTGAATTTATATGAAAAATATATATTTTAATGATATTTCATTATAAACATCAAAGTGTAAATTTTATTTATTAACATTAAACCACATTTTTTAGCATACAAATGAAATGGAAAATGAAATAGGCTTGATCCATTATATGCATAAAAATAATTGTAAAAAGATTTGAATTTGTTATATTTACTGATTTTACTTTTCCTTAAATACATTTATGACAAAGACACAAAGAAATAAATTAACAATGGTGAATGTCAAAGGCATTCTCTGTATAAGCCTTCATTTTTCTTTTAGACTATGTCTACTCAGAGAAGCTTGAAGTAATTGCATCAACTCGATGTTTATGTTAATTGATTTTCTGTAGGCGCTTATAATATTGTTAGCCAAACCAACATATTGGCTGTGAAAAACACAGTGGAATAGGAAATCTCTTGTTCTTGATATCATAGGATATTGCTGTTGAATGATATGTTTTGGGATTCCTAGGTGGTCATAAGAATAATTAAAATTTTTGTCCATAATTTATTTTTGAATAAATATGTTGTATTAC